>NC_000003.12:104917695-105220725 GCF_000001405.40 Homo sapiens | reverse complement strand
GTCACCCAGGCTGGAGGGCAGTGGCGCGATCTGGGCTCACTGCAAACTCCGCCTCCCGGGTTCACGCCATTCTCCTGCCTCAGCCTCCCAAGTAGCTGCGACTACAGGCGCCCGCCACCACGCCCGGCTATTTTTTTGTATTTTTAGTAGAGACGGGGTTTCACCGTGTTAGCCAGGATGATCTGGATCTCCTGACCTCGTGATCCACCCGCCTCGGCCTCCCAAAGTGCTGGGATTACAGGCTTGAGCCACCACGCCTGGTCTAAGTCTGGGACTTCTGTCTCATTTGCTGTCTTCTTTTTCCTCTGGGGAAACAAGCGGCCGTGTTGTAAGCTGTCCTATGAAGAGGGCCACATGACAAGAAACTGATGCAGCCAACAGCCATTGAGGACCTGAGGCTTGTCAGCAGCCATGTAAGTGAGCTTGGAAGTAGATTAAAATGACTGTAGGCCTGACCTCCATCTTATTTGCAGCACTATGAGAGACCCTGATGAAAGGACTTGCCTAAGCTGTACCTGAACTCCTGACACTTAGAAACTGTGAGATAATAAATGGTTACTGGTTTAAGTTGCTAATGTTAGGGGAATTTGTTATGTAGCAGAAATCTCTAACACACGATTTAATAATTTTATTGTCTTTTCTCTATTGAATTATATGTAATCTTATCATTGAATCAATCATTAATTCCACTCATTTATTGCTATAGATTTGCTGTATGCCCATATGTAATACAGTATTTCCCCCTGCTTCACCATCTTTTTATTTTAAAGTCAACTTTGCTATTTGTTAATTTTTCTTCTTCATACTTTTTAGAGCAAGTTCACTGAGTTTTTGAAATATAGTTAGAATTTTATTTAATTTGCATCAAATTTATTGATAAATTTGCAGAATTTGTAACTTTATTTCACTATAATCTCATCTAAGAGTCTGGAATGTCTTTTCACTTATTCAAATCATGATCATTTTCCTTTATTGGAGTCTTAAAGTTTTATCCATAGAAATCTTTTATATTCTTTATTAAGCTAATTCCTAGAAAATTCATACATTTTGTTATATTTTATAGTTGGTTATAAAGAAATGCTAGTACAACCACTATGGAAAACAGTATGGAGATTCCTTAAAGATCTAAAAGTAAATCTACCATTTGATCCAGCTATCCCACTCCTGGGTATCTACCCAGAGGAAAAGAAGTCATTACCTGAAAAAGATACCTGCACACGTTTATAGCAGCACAATTCATAATTGCAAAAAATAGAGCCAGCTCAAATGCCCATCAATCAATGAGTAAAGAAAATGTGGTACACACACACACACACACACACACATGTTTATATATATATATATAAACATACCATAGAATACTATTTAGCCACGAAAAGAAATGAAACAATGGCATTCACAGCAACCTGGATGGAATTAGAGAACATTATTCTAAGTGAAGTAACTCAGGAATAGAAAACCAAACATCGTAAGTTCTCACTTCTAAAGTGGGAGCTAAGCTATGAGGGAGCAAAGGCATAGGAATGATACAATGGACTTTGGGGACTCAGGAAAAAGGGTGGGAGTGGATGAGGGATAAATGACTACACATTGGGTATAGTGTACACTGCGCCGGTGATGGGTGCACTGAAATCTCAGAAATCACCACTAAAGAATTTATTCATGTAACCAAACACCACCTGTTCCCCCAAAACCTGTTGACAAAAAAGTAGAAAATAAAACTTTCTGATTAAAACAACAACAAAAGCCCAGAAATGCTATTGCTTATGGTCATTAATTCTTTTATCCTGCAACCTCTCTTATAGTGGTTGTCTGTTGGCTGACAGAATAAAATAATAATTAATAGTTTGTCTACCTGTTGTTTCTGTTTTCTCTTCCAATATTTATACCATGTTGGTTGTTTTCTTCCTGTTTTTATTGCTGTGTACCAAACACTCCAAAACTTAAGGCCTTTAAAGAAAAATAAAATATTTCTTACATTTCTCTGGGTTGACTTGGCTTACTTGGTTGAGTTTTGTTTTTGGTTTTTGTGTGGTTATAATTTTGGTCTTTTGTATGGTTAGAATGTTGGCTGGTGTTGCAGGCATCTGAAGCTTCACCGGGATAGCTGTTCAAGGTGGTTCATTCATATAACTGACAGTTGATGTTGGCTGCCAGCTGGAATTTCAGCTGGTATCTGCCTGCTATAGCTTCTATATGTAGCTTCTTCAAGTGGCGTAAATGTCTCACAACACAGCAGGTGCATTCTAAGAGTAAGTATCTCAAAGGTAAATTTTATAGTAGGTCAAGTTGGAAGAGTATGCCATATTGTATTTGTCAATTAAGTCACAGAGACTTTGATCATTCAAGGAAGTGGAAAAACAAACTCTGTCTCTTGATAGGGAAGTAACAAGATCACATTGCAGAAGCCTGTGAGTAGAAATTATTCTTGTAAATATCTATGAAAAGACAAAATGTATATTTTATTATAACATAGGACAGAACCTCCAATACAATTATAAAGAGCAGAATTGATAGTATCAGCATTCTCTCTGACCTTAAAAATAAAGTGCCTCTATCAATTGTTAAATATTTACTGTTTTTTTTGTGTGTGTACTTTAAGTTCTAGGGTACATGTGCACAACGTGCAGGTTTGTTACATATGTATGTATACATGTGCGGTGTTGGTTTGCTGCACCCATTAACTCATCATTTACATTAAGTATTTCTCCTAATGCTATCTCTCCCCCATCACCCCACCGCACAACAGGCCCTGGTGTGTGATGTTCCCCACCCTGTGTCCAAGTGTTCTCATTGTTCAATTCCCACCTATGAGAACATGTGGTGTTTGGTTTTCTGTCCTTGTGACAGTTTGCTCAGAGTGATAGTTTCCTGTTTCATCTATGTCGCTACAAAGAACACAACAGATGCTGAAGAGGATGTGGAGAAATAGGAACGCTTTTACACTGCTGGTGGGAGTGTAAACTAGTTCAACCATTGAGGAAGACAGTGTGGCAATTCCTCAAGGATCTAGAACTAGAAATACCATTTGACCCAGCGATTCAATTACTGGGTATATACCCAAAAGATTATAAATCATGCTACCATAAAGACACATGCACACATATGTTTATTGTGGCAGTATTCACAATAGCAAAGACTTGGAACCAACCCAAATGTACTTCAGTGATAGACTCGATTAAGAAAATAAGGCACATATACACCATGGAATACTATGCAGCCATAAAAAGGGATGAGTTTGTGTCCTTTGTAGCGACATGGATTTTTAATGTATAACTTTTACCAAGTCATGAAGTTTCCATTTATTTAATTTGTATACAGTTTCAAAATTATTAATAATTGTTTCTTGAAATGGTTGTATTACTCAGAATTCTCTAGAGGAACAGAACCAGTAGCATATATAGATACAGATATAGACACAGAATATTTATTATGGGAATTGGCTTATGCTATTATGCAGGCCAAAAGTTCTGCAACATGCCATATGTAAGCTGGAGAACTAGGAAAGCCAGTGGTGTAATTCAATCTGAGTCAGAAGGCCTAGAAAATGGGGGGTGGGGTAAAGGTAGAATTGAATGGGTGTGTTTGTGGGGGTGGAGGGTGAGTTCTGATGTAAATTCCATAGTCCAAAGATCCAAGAACCAGGAGCTCTTATGTCTGAGGTCAGGAGAAGATGGATGTCCCAGCTCAAGAAGAAAGACAATGAATTCTCCTTTTGTCTGTTATTCAGTCCTTCAAGGTATTAAATGTGCCCACTCACATTGGTGACAGTGGATTTCCTTTACTCAGCTCATTTATTTAAATGCTAACCTCTTACAGAAACACCCTTACAGATAGAGTCAGAAATAAAGTTTTAACAGCTATCAGGACATGCCTTTGCTAGTCAAATTGACATGAAATTAACCATAACGATAGGTTTTTTTTTTTACTTAGTTCTGTTAATTTGGAGAATCATATTGGTAGATTTTTTTTTTTTATTTTGGACCAACTTTTATTCTTGGAAAACTTTTCACCTATTCATGTTGTGACATTTTCAAATATTCTTTTGCATTGAGTTAACTAATGCTTTCTTTAGAAATTTTTAAAAATCGTTATCTTTTTTTGCAAAGAAGTATACATAATTAATTTGTGCAACTTAAAAAGTTTGAATGTAAGTAAACACTATGGAAAGCATCACCACAATCAATGCCATAAGACTAATTGTTGCCTCCAAAAATTCACTCCTGCCCTCTTATTTATTATTATTGTTGTTTTCTTGTGATAAGAACACTTAACATAAGATGTACTCTCCAGCAAATTTTTAAGTGTGTAATACAATATTGTCAGCTGTAAGCACTATACTGTACGGTAGAGCTCTCGGACTTATAAATCTCATATAACAGAAACTTTTTGTTTCTGTTTGACTAATATCTCCTTGTTTCCTCCTTTGGCACTACTATTCCACTCTCTGCTTCTATGAGTTTGATTATTTTAGGTTCATCATATAAGTGATATCATGTAGTATTTGTCTTTCTGTGTCTGGCTTATTTCATTAGACATAACGTCCTCCGAGTTCACCCATGTTGTTGAAAATGGCACAATTTCCTTCTCTTTTTTAATGCTGAATAAATATACTTTGCTGTATGTATATATCACATTTTTTAAATCCATTTATGGATATTTAAGTTGTTTCCATCTTGATTATTGTGAATAATGCTATAATTAACATGGAAATGTAAATATCTCTTCAAAATCTTGACTTAAATTCCTTAGGCTATGTATCTAGAAATGGGGCTACTGGATCATATGATAATCAATTTTTACCTTTTGTAACTAAGAATAAACTTAACCAAGGAGGTGAAAGACTTGTACACTGAAAACTATAAAACACTGATTTAAAAAAAAACAAAGCAGATACAAATGAGTGGAAAAGACATCCATACTTACGGATGATAAGAATTTAATATTGTTAAAATGTTCACAGTACCCAAAGCAATCTATAGATTCAAAGTAATTCCTACCAAATCTCAGTGGCACTTTTTACAGTAGAAAAAACAATCTTAGGATTTATATGGAACCACAAAGGACACCAAATATCCAGAGCAATTTTGAGCAACAAAAATGAAGCATGATACTGGCATAAAATCAAATATATAGACCAATGGAACAGAGAGACTAGAAATCCAACTATACATATGTGGTCAACTGATTTTTGACAAGGGTGTCAAGAATAGACAATAAGGAAAGAATAGTCTCTTTAATAAATGATGTTGGGAAAATTTCTATACATGCGAAACAATGAAACTGGACCCTGATCTCATACCATACACAATAATCAACTCAAAATGGATTAAAGACTTAAATAAGCTAGAAACCATTAAATTCCTAGGAAAGAAAAACAAAAACAGGAAAAATCTTCAAGGCATTGGCATCAGTAATGACTTCTTGGCTATGACTTTAAAAGCATGGTCAACAAAAGAAAAAAACCAGATAAGTAGGGTTATATCAAACTAAAAGTTTCTTCACAACAAAAGAAACAATCAACAAACTGAAGGGCAATCAACAGAATGGGAGAAAATATTTGTATACCATATATCTTATAGAGTTAATATCCAAAATATATAAGGAACTCTTATAACTCATAGCTCAATAGCAAAAAAAAAAAACCCCTCAAATAACCTTGATCAAAAAATAAACAAAAGAATTGAATAGACATTTCTCCCAAGAAGACATACAAATGGCCAAAAAGAAAACATTCTTAAGAGAAAACAATGAAGAAAAAGAAACGTCAAAACAATTAATGACCAAAATCCTCCAAAATCTCATGTAAAACATTTACTTGCATAATGAAGAAACTTGATATACCCCAACCAAGATAAATATTCACAAATACTCCAAGGCATATCATAGCCATACTTCAGCAAGCCAAACATTAAGAGTAAATCTTGAAAGCATCCAGAGGAACAAAAATTTGCCTAAAGGGAATTAATCATATAATTAATGACTCACTTCTAACCTGAGACTGTGGTGGCTAGAAGATATTGGATTGACATATTCAAAGTGCTAAAAGAAAAAATACCAAATAACAATTCTATATTAAGTGAAACTATCCTGCAAAAAATAACAGTTAGGAATACTTTTTGCCAGTGGGCCTGCTCTGCAAAATGTTTAACACAAGTTCTTCAGCTGAAAGGGAAATGATATTGTATAGCAACTCGAACCTATGCAAAGAAGTGAAGAGCACTGGGAATGCTAAACATGTAGTGAATAGGAATGATAGCATATATTAACAGTATACATAGAGTACGTGTGTGTATATATATATATATATACGATAATTTTTAAAAAGACATATGACAATTTAAAGCAAAAACTATAACACTATTTGTGAATTTATATCCTTATCTAGATAGATAGATAAATAGATAGATAGCCTACATATGTCAATAATATCAGTAAGGATTGGTGGAGGGAAAGATGGTCATATACTATCATAAGTTTTCTATATTTTATTTAATGTGTTTCACTATTAACTCTATATTTATTAGCATAATGTAAATGGGGTTATTTTAATACTTAATCATTAAAAATAATTCAAAAAGTTGCAGATAGGCAAAAATAAAGAAACTTAAGTAGATATTAAAACTAAGGAAGGCAGGAAATGAGGAACAAAGAAAAATATGTGATATATAGAATATGAATAGTAAAGTGATAGACATAAACTCTTATCCATAATTTATGTACACATAAAAGCTTCAATCAAAATTCACATATTGACTGAGTTCAAAAGCAAGAACCAATGATATTTTATCTTGAAGAGATGCATGTAAATAAAAAGATATAGATAGTTAAAGGATGAAAAATTACATACAGTACCAATACTAAGCATGAAAATATTAGAGTGACAACATTAATATCAAGCAGCATTTGCTTCAAGACAAGGCATCTTGTTGATGTCTTGTTGATAGAAACAAGACACTTCAAACAAGAAAAGGATAAAAATATCAGGAATAAAGCAATTACCAATGTATAAACACCTAATAATTTAATTGTCTCAGTCTGTTTGTGCTGCTATAACAAAATAACTCAGACTACGTAATTTATAAATGATAGAAATGTATTTCTCACAGTTCTAGAAACTGGCAAGTTGAAGACCAAAGTGCTAGTACTTTGGTCATCTGGGGAGGGCTGACCTCTGCTTCCAAGGTGGTACTCTGGTCCTAAATCCTCTTAAGAGGAAGATCTCTGTGTCATCACATAGTGGAATGTGGAAGAGCAAGTGAAAGCTGAATGCTATGTGAAGCCTCTTCTATAAGAACCCTAATCCCATTCATGATGGGATAAACCCTCATGACCTCTTAAAAGTCAGTTCTTAATACCATCTCATTGGGTATTAGGTTCCAATACCTGAATTTTGGAGGGCACACATTCAAACCATAGCATAAAGCTTCAACATACATGAAGTAAATATTGAAAGAACTAAAGTGATAAATACACAAATCTACAATCATAGTGAGAGACTTAAAACAAATCTCTCCATAATTAATAGTTCAGCTAGACACCAAATCAATATATAAAAATCAGAATGCATTGATCAACCATATTTAGCTAAATGATATTCATAGAATACTCCAACCAACAACTGAAGAATATAATTTTAAGTGCACACAGAGCAGTCATCAAGGTAAACTTCATAGTGGGCCATAAGAATATCTTAATAGACTTCAAAATATTGAAATATTATAAACAATATTCTCTGACCACAACAAGATTATGTTATAAATAATCAATAACATATGTAGAAAATATCCCAATATTTAGAATTAAACATTTCCATTTTACACAGCAAAGAGAAGTCACCAGTTTTTTAAAAATAGATTGCATAAAAATGAAAATACAGCATATTCAAATTTGTGGACTACAGCTTATCTTTGCTCAGAGAAAATTTTATATTTTTAAATGCTTATATAATAAAACAAGAAAGTCAATAATGAATGATTCCATCTTGTAAAGCTGAAAATGGAGGAGGAAAAATTAATTCAATATCATGTGGAAGAAATAATAAAGATAATAGCAGAAATGGGTAAAACAGAAAATAGATGTCCAGTAGAGAAAAATCAATAAAAGTAAATAACGGTTTTTTGAAATATCAATAAAGTTGATAAAATCCTAAACTCATATTAGCAAGCATTTTCAGAAAAGGGCTAAATGATTTACTTCTTAGGACTTACTGCCATGAGATCTTTGTTATAAATATGCAACTTTATTGATGTAGCATAAAAGCAAGCATATATTGGGTTGTAAGTAAATGTACACAGATGTTTTCCAATAAAACTTTATTGACACTGAAATTTGAATTTTATATAATCTTGGTGTATTACAAAGTGCTTTTCCACTTTTGGTATTTTTTCAAATATTTAAAATTATAAAAGCCATTCTCAGTCTATGGGTGATACAAAAACAGGTAGCAAGATGGATATGCCCACGAATTGTGGCTTACCATCCCCTGTTAGAAAGATTGATTACAATATTTAAAAAGAAAGCAATATTATAAATATCAGGAATGAAAGAGAAGATGCTAATACAGACATTAAAATCTTTAAAACAATAGTTAAGTATTATTTAAAACTTTATACTAATATGTTTGACAACTTATTTGAACTGAAAAAATTCTTCAAAAGTAAAAATTACAAAACTGTCAATAAAATAAATAGAAATCCTGAATACCTCTAATTAACAAAATGTATTGTATTCAAAATTTAAACTTTCCTGCTAATAAATCTCAGACCCAGAGACTTTCACTGGTTAATTCTCAAAAAAAAAAAAAAAAAAAGTACAAAGAAAGAATGCCAATCCTACCTAAATTATTTCAGAAAACAGATAAGGAGTGAATACATTCCAACTCATTTTATGATATCTGTAATCCTCTGATACCAAAACCAGACAAATATATTTCAAGAAAAAATTATATGTTAATATCTTTCATGAACATAAGTAAAACAACTTTAACAAAATATTTAAGTATCAAATCCAGTAATATAAAAATTATGATGCATCAAAAAAGCACTTGACCAAATCACTATCTATTGAAGTTACAAATTTTTGGCCAGCTGGGAATTAGAAGGAATTTCCCTATCCTGATTAAAGACATTAATGGAAATTATATAGGTAACATACTTAATGGAGAAAAACTCTTTTTTCCTCAAGAGTAGGACCAAGACAAAAATGTCAAGATATCTATTGGCAGTCTTAGTAATTTCAGTTAGTCAAAAATAAGTAAAAGACATATAATTGAAAAAGACCAGAAATGAAAGACTAAAATATCTCAGCCGGTTTTGACAGGTTGATTTTAAAATTTAAATGGGAATGCAAATGAAATAAAAAACCAATTTAGAAAGAACAAAGTTGGAGGATTCATAATACTGGATTTCAAGATTTTTAATAATGCTGCCGTAATCAAGATATATGTGGTATTTGTAAAAAGATAAATATAGATGAATTAAAAAATATAGAATCTAGATATAGATCAACATGGTAAATTGATTTTTGAGAAACGTGCTAAGGCAATATAATGAGGAAAGGGCATTCTTAAAAAAAATGCTGGAACATCTGGCTAGTAATGTTAAAAAAATGAACTCAGTCCTTACTTCATATTATTTAGAAAAATTAACTTGAAAAGGGACATACGTAATAATACATTAAATTTTTATAAAAATAAAAAAATTGGTTTTCAAAATACACCATTATAAAAGCAAAAAGACAAACCACGAAAGGAGAGAAAATATTTATGTTACATTTATCTGGCAAATAACATGTTTCAAGAATATGTAAAGCGTTCTTAAAACTCCTAAATTTTTAAAGTTTTAAATAGAACAAACTAATAAAAACTAGACAAAATATTTAAATGAGAACTTCACAAAAAAGATATATAAATGGCTAAAAAGTGGATGAAAAATATTCAGCATCATTAGTCATTGGGACAATGAGAATTAAAACCCCAATGAAATGTCATTATATACACATTAACATAGCTGTAATTAAAAATCCCAACAAGAGTAACATTGATGAGAATATGGAGAAACTGGAACCTTCCTCATACACTTCTGGTGAAAATGGGAAATTACACAAGCACTTTTAGAAAACTATTTGTTAGTTTCCTTGTAAAGTTAAACATGTACTTACCACAGTATCTTGTACTTTCACAGTGAAAGCATCTGAACACACAAAAATTTTTACATCAATGTTCATAGCAGCTTTATTCTAAATTGGTCCAAAGTGGAAAACACGCTAATTTCAATCACTATGTAAATGGATAATCAAAATGATAGTATATTCAAAAAATGGCACAGCACTTGGCAATAAAAATGCACCAGGCATACACACAACACATATGAATATCAAAAATAGTATCCTCATTGAAAGAAGCCAGACAGAAAAAAGTGCACATGCTATAATTCCATTTACATGAACTTCTATAAAATGCAGACAAATCTACAGTGACAGAAAGCAGATCATTCCATTCTGAGGGTTCTGGGGTGGAAGAAGGAACTGACTACATAAGTGCATGAGAAAATTCTTTTAGGGAGAGAAAATGTTCTGTATCTTGATTGCAGTAATGGCTTTAAAAATGTATATAACTATCAAAATTCATTGAATTGTACAATTTAAATGAGTTAAGTTTATTGTACAATATTATACAGCAATAAGGTTAATTGAATATAATGTTTCAGAAAAAATCTAAATGTCTTATATAGGGCAATATAAATATAGTGATATATTCATATACATGTTTGAACATTATTTGCCTATTAGAATTGTTTCTAGAAAAAGTTTATTATTTTATAATCTTAAATAAAAAATAGAATTATTCCAGAAAATATGTAAAGAAAATGTTATTTACCTCCTCTCAGGAAAAAGATCCAGAAGGATATAATAATAATAAACGTAAATACCCTGAAGAAGGCCCATTAGGAAAACGGTTAAATATTGATTCATTGTTTTAATGGAATACTCATAACAGGGCAACTTCAAGTAAGTAGATACATAACACTTAAGCATATATGATATTTCCACATATATTATTTCATAGATTTATTACAATTATGTGAAATTGATGTGTTTTTACTTTTTGCAAATGAAGTATGGATAACTAGGTTAAGTAACTTTCCCTTATATTGGTGCTTCTATATATTTCTAGTTAGAGTGTTGATTGCTACATTTTTAAAAAATTACTTTTAAAGAACTCTATATTCAAATAAAAACAATACACAAATAAAAACAATAATCTTTTATTTCAAACAAAAACAATAGTCTTTTCCAGAAATGTCATTTTTCATAAATTTCTATAAATATAAATGTTCTGAGGATAAATGTGCCTGGATATTTATTGCAGCATTGCTTATAAAGATAAGATATTGGCATCGGCACAAATATTCAAAAGGGAATAGTGACAGAGCAAACATGCATTCAATGATGTTTATATAAATGTAGTGCACTCATACTACGGAATATTATACTGTTATTAAAATAGGAATTACTTTTATATAAGTATGTATGTTTGTGTTTAGGGGAGGAGTGTGGATAGTTAAGTCTCATTATTTGTAGATTCCATATTTGCAGATTTGTCTACTCAATAAAATTTACTTCTAATCCCAAATTAATCCTTTAAGCACGTTCATAGCCATTTGTGGACATGCACATGTGCAGAGTGGTAAAAAATTTCAATTGCCAATATACATGTTCCTAGCTCAGACTGAATAAGGCAGTAGCAGTAGTTCTGCCTTCTCATATTAAGTCTTATGCTGTAAATTAGTGTGCTTTTGTAGTCTATTTAATGTCACATTTTTCACATTTTTTGTGATTTTTTTTTTTTTGGTGATTTGCTGTTTAATATCTTCCCGGAACACCGTGAGAAGTGCTGTCCAGCGTTCCTAAGCACAAGAAGGGTATGATGTACTATTTGGAGAAAATATATGTATTAGAGAAGCTTTCTTCACACATGAGTTGTGGTGCTGTTGGTTGTATTCAATGTTAATGAATCACCTGTAGAGTAAATAAGGTACCTTGGAATAGAAACAAACATTAAAACAAGAATATAAGTTGATTAGTTGCTGAAAATTTTGCGTTAAAAACTTGAAACATTATTTACTTGCCCAAAGTCAAAGAACTAATAACTAAAAATTGTATTACCACTTTCTTTCAATAATTTATTTGTGATTTCTAGCCCAGGGTTTATTTCCACTACAATGTATTATCATTATCCCTGATACATATGTAGATTATATCAATATCTAAACAAAATGAACAAAAAATGCTATGTTCTGATGGTAGATGTGCCTATAAAGGAGAATTTTGTGAGTTGTGAGTAGGGTTATATATTTATTCATTTGTTTTTCCACTTTAAAGTTAATGTAAAGTAATTGTAACAGTAGACCAGGAAGAATCTGAAGGTAATAGTGGAACCACTATATAGATTTTTAAAAGTATCATGTGTTTTGTATAATACCCTGGATTAACCAGGATAATAATTTATAATGACTACCTCTTATTGAGTACTTGTTGAGTCAGCCACTTGACATATATAGTTCCATAACTTTTCAGATGTTTTAAGTCTCATTTCCCCTTGAATTTTCTTTATCTATTTATGAAGGAGGCCTGCTCCTGTTTAGTGCCTCAGAGGAGATATGAAGAAAGGCAGAAGGTGGAAATAGCCTGCACACCTTACTGATTTTTATGTTCCATAAGTCAAAGCCTTGAGGAAGATTTAGATAATTTTCAGGTTAAGTCAGGCAGTTTTTGGTGGCTCATGCCAGATACAGTTAATTTTCTCCAATATCTCTGTTCCCCTTCTTCCATAGGAATAGTTACACTTTTAGTTCTAGACATTTCTGCCTAGAAATAAATAAAATTATTTCCTACACTTCTATGCATATTAGGTTTGGACACGTGAATAAATTTCATCTAGGGTAATGTATTATACTCCAGATCTGGGCACTTTTCTTCAGTCAATCTGCATGTACACTTTGCCTCTATTTACTTCTTTGCCTCATCTGTCTTCCTGAATGTAGGCATGATAGCTGAAGTCAGTGTGGCTATTTTGGTCCATGAATTTGTCTTGGTAATGGTGGTCAGGAATAGCAGAACAACATAGTAGGAAGATTTATTGTAGCAGGTACATCCTATAACTTCAGGACAAACCACTGCTGACATCTGCATGAGAGAGAATTGTACTTTTATTTAGCCACTGTCATTTTGGGCTCCTGTTATTCACAGTTTAGCCTATTCCTAATTAATACATGGGTATAGAGGTGTGATGGGGGTGGGCCAGGAAAAGCACTTGGAAACAAGCAGGGAAATTAGATACTTTTCACACAAACCATAGAGGTATTGTCTACTACTGGGAAGTTGAGATTAGCAGAAAGAACCTGCACTCTTTCTAAGCCTGCAAAAAAGGACTACATGGTACATCTATGAGGATGGACCTGGGCAGCTTCACAGTAGATGTTTATAACCAATGAGTAACAAAGAAACACTATAAACTCGGTGGGCCCTATATATGTCATAACTCTGGGAGCCATTAATGATTTTTTTTAAAAACACCCATCATAGGATATGTTGAGTAATTAATTATTCCTTTTTAAAAGAATAAAATCCACCTAGTGCCAGTTATATGCTATATATTTTGCATAAATTATTTCATCTGATACTCACAAGAACCCTAAAGGTAAGAATCGTTATTGATAAAGAATAATTTCAATATTATTGATAGTACTGATAAAGTGACTAAGTACTAAAGAATTTAACTTGTTCAAGGTTACATAGCTAGAAAAATCACTGCTAAGCTAGCCTTTAAACACAGGCCCATCTCTTTCTAAGCATCTTCTATAATAGAAAAAATATAAAAACATCACTAAAAAGGAAAAATAACTTTAAACATTTTAGAATATATTTAAAAAATACTAACAAAATCAAAATAATTGGATCTTAAGTATCTGGTTATAAAAAGATGTTATATGTAAATATAAATATGTAAACATATGTGTATTTTTATTTATGCCTATACATACATACAGACCTCTCATATGCACACACAATGGCACTTTAAACACTTCATGGAGAAAAGGAATTAACATATAAAAATAAAAAATACAAACTTAATTTCTCAACATAATCTCCATCAGGTTCAAGGTGCTTTGGTAAGCAATAATATCAACCATTCAGTTCATCCCTAAATAACTGAGGTTTCTGGGAATTTAACCATGCCAATGCAATCCTTTTACATTATTAACTGAAGAATAGTAGGTGTTTCTTAAAGATTTTTTAGATTAGGAAACAAAAATAAGACAGAAGGAGCCAAATCAGAACTATAAGGCAGATGCCTAATTATTTTCCATTGAAACTCTCATAAAATTGCTCTTGTATGAAGAAAGGAGTAAGCAGGAACATTGTCATGATAGAAGAGGACTCTCTGGTGAAACTTTTCTAAGCATTTTTCTGCTAAAGTTATTACCGACTTCCTCAAAACTCTGTCTTAATAAGCAGATGTTATTGTTTTATGGCCCTCCAGCAAGCAAAATGCCTTGAGCATCCCAAAAACCTATTGCCATAATCTTTGATCTTGACTTGTTCTCTTTTGCTTTGCCTGGACCACTTTCACCTCTTGACAGCCATTGCTATAATCGTGCTTTATCTTGAGGATCATACTGGCAAAGTCATAGTTCATCTCGTATTATTATTTTTCAAAGAACTCCTTCAGGATCTTGACATTGATTGTTTAAAATTTCCATTGAAAGCTGTACTTTTGTTTATAGCTGATATGGGTGCAATGGTTTTGGCATCCATCAAGTGAAAAATCTACTTAACTTTAATTATTTAGTCAGAGTTGTGTAAGATGAAGCCCTTGAGATGTCTGTGGTGTTGGCGGTTGTTTCTCTGTTAATTGTTGATCTTCTTCAACTAAGACATGAACAAGATGAATTTTTTTCTTGCAAATTGATGTGGATACTCTGCCACAGCCAGCTTCATCTTCAACATCATCTAATTCCTTCTAAAATGGGTTATCCATTTGTAAACTGATTATTTCTTGGAAACATTGTCTTCATATACTTTTTGTAAAGCATTAATAATTTCACCACTCTTCTACACAACATTCACTATAAGTTTTATATTTGTTCTTGCTTCCATTTTAGCAGAATTCATGTTGTTCTGATAGGGTTTCTTTTCAAACTGATCCTTTTCTGTACTTCAAACTAGATGCTGTTCAGATGCATTGTAACAAGTTAGTATACATTTGTTGTGGTGAAAAAAATGTTTTGAAATCTATGTGTAGTTTTTTTCCTAATGTGCATTTTTCATGAACTTTTTGAAGACCTCTTGTGTAAATGAATTACATACTTAAAGAAATTTGAAAAAAAAAGCATTTTAGTATTTTACATGCATTTTAGTAACTTAGAGGCAGATCCTTGTCTGGTAGATCTCGTGGTCTAGTATCATTATTACCAGATGAAATAAAACTAAATATAGAATTTGGACAGATACTAAGCAGGAACTTGTTCCATAACATGACAATACATAGAATGAATACAAATAACTTATATCTTGATGCTTCCTAAATTTAAATAATCTGGCTTGAACTCCTATATTTTCGGTAGTATCTAGGAAACAGAATATCAGTCATGCTTATTGGTAGTTAGTTACTGCTTCTTTTCCAGAATCATTCAAGAGTTCTGGGAGATTTACCTAGTCCAGAGAAAAGAAATTGGAAAATACTTCTAATTTTCTATACATCTTGTCACTATGATCTTCACTGTACATACAGGTGTGGTACATTCTAAGGAAGAAGTTCTGCTCTCACTGGACCAATCTTTGACACAGTTATTTTCCATTCTCAATTCACAAAGCTGTTCTACTTAGTGCAGATAACTGCCTTAGTGTATGACCTGGGTGTCAAACATTCCTCCTGGTCTACAGTAGGTAGGAGGAACCCTACCTCCTAATTATGGCAAGGGTCAAATTCTTCTGCTAGTATGATAATTCCTTTCTTTGCTGATGTACTGGAATAAGAGACTCAATCTGATTGTAGTCATGGCTGCCTCTATTGTGTCCCCTGGTGGAAGTATCATTCCTCTCAGATTGAAGACTTCCAGCTTTAAAGAATCCAGATATGACAGGAAAGAAGGCAGAAATTCCAGGTGGGTTGTTGGAATTGAAAAGGAGTCAGGGGAGTCACTTGTCTTGGTTCTTGGACCCATGCATTTTGTCTAATGGGGATACAGTACCATACAGTGGCCATTGGGTTATGCATCCTGAAGGATATTGCTCTATCATTGTAGGTTGTAATTCCAAGCTGATATCTCACAACTATGAGTTCATTTAATCACTCTTTCTGGTCAACCATGAATGAATTGTGCAGTATTTTGTATGCAGTCCCTCCAAATGCTGTTTTCCCTCACCTGCTTATTTCCAATACTCCAATTTTGCTTCTTCAGGTTCCTGGCCAACCAGTCAAGTAATGAGACACTGCCCATAAATCTATATGAGTTTTATCATGGACCAATTTTCTCTTCACAAAATGTAGCTGAGAGGAGGATTCTGGGAAAGTGTTGGAGTAGAAAGCTCCAGGAATCTATTTCTGCAATTAGATAGCAATTGCATAGGCAGAATATGTCTAATGTAATTGTTTTGGAACTCAAGAGTTTATTGAAGGCTTGCAATTTTTAGGGGAAACGTTGGACAGTAAATTGAAGTTAACTTCAGCTCTTAACACAGTAGCAGCTACCCATCCTCCACCCCAAACTCCGTATCAGGCAGCTATGCACCTTTCTGGGGCAGCTTGCACACTGCTAGAAGTATCCATTGGGTGCAAAAACGACGCTGTCCTCCAAACAGTGGAGATCTGCACTGATCACTGGCTGATGCTTTTAATCACAGAGATGCAGACAAAAAAGCAGGAGGACATTGTTTTTGCACCTCCCCCCATTGTGCATGCCACTCCTCCTTTATCTTAAGTGATGTTCAGAGGATTTAAAGGTCTAGTGTCCTCCCTACTTTCATTTTTACCTTTTTGGGAGCGAGACATTAAAGAATAGGATTCAAAAGCAACTACACATGGGGGAAAATTAGAAAGTGGCTGCACATACCCAGCAAAAGTGACAGGCTCAAAAAACACAGGAGAAGACCTTAAGTTTATATCGCAGACTGATCCTTGACTCAAAGATAGCCTACAACAATTTAAAAATAATAAACACAAAGATTAACAAAACCCAGCAAACTCTGGGAAAGGGAGGAACCTGATTTCCAGATCATGAAATAATATTATATAATACACTAATATATAATTATTTTTTTTCAAATGTCCAGTTTTCAACAAAAAATAATAAGGCATCCAAAAAAAACCCCTCGGAAGTATAGTCCATTCAAAGAAAAAAATAAATAAATCAACAGAAACTGAACTTGATAAAGATCTATGGCAGATCTACTACACAAAGACATTAACACAACTGTCTTAAAGATGTTCAAAGAAGTAAAAGAAGATGTAGAGAATGTTAATAAAAATGATGGACGAGCCCGAAGAAAATATCAATAAAGAGATTGGAAATCTAAAAAGAAACAACAAGAAAAATGTTGGAGTTGAAAAGTACAATAACTGAAATGACAAATTCACTACAGGTGTTCCAAGGCATATTTAAGTAGGCAGAAGAGAGAACCACTGAATTTGAAGCTAGAACAATATAAATAATAGAATCTGAGAAACAGAAAGAAAAATAATTGAAGAAAGGTGAACAGAGCATAAAGAATCTTTGGGACCCTCAAGTGGATAAATATATGCACTGTGGCAGTTCTCGAAAGAGAAGAGAAAGAGGAGAGAATATTTGAAGAAGTAATGGCTAAAACTTTCCAAATTTGAAGAAATACATGAATATATACATCCAAGAATTGTGACAAACTCTAAATAAGGTGAACTTAAAGGGACCACATTGAAACACATTATAATAAAACCTTCTTGAAAGCAGCAAGAAAGATTCAATGCCTCATATTTAAATGATCCTCAATAGAATTATCAGATATTTCTCAAGACACATTGGAGGCCAGAAGGAAGTGGGCTAGTATATTCAAAGTGCTAGAACAGAAAAACAAACAAAAAACAGCCAACCAAGAATCCTATATTTAGCAAAACTGTCCTTCAAAAGTGAGGGGGAAATTACGGCATTCCCAGATAAACAAAAGCTGAGAGAATTTGTTACCTCTAGACCTGTGCTATAAGAAATGCTCAAAGGTGTCCCGCAGGTTGAAATTAAAGGACACTAGACAGTAACTTGTTTTATAAAGCCACTGAAAGATGAATGGATAAGCAAAGTTATATAAATACAATAGATTATTAATCAGCTTTAAAAGTTATGCATATTGTAGTATATGTCGGAAGAACTTTTGGAATATTATGCAAATTGAAATCAGCCTGTTTTTCAGGGTTACTCTTCATTCCAGTTACAGTACAATAGCATCAGTTTTCAGCTGCGATTGACATATCAAGCAGATCAATTCTATGAATCAAGCATAAGTTAGTTTGTTTGTTTATTTATTTATTTATTTATTTATTTATTTATTTATTTATTTTGTAGAGACAGGCTTTTGCCATGTTGCCCAGGCTGGTCTCGAACTCCTGAGCTCAAGCTATCTGCCTGTCTTGGCCTCTCAAAGTGCTAGGTAAAAGGCATGGGCCACTGCACTTGGCCATTATTCTTTCTTTGATAGGTGATCATAGAGAACCTTATATAAGGCCAGAGGTACAAGCTAAGGGAGACACATAGATACAAAAGTGATAGATGACATAGGAGTCTGAACCACTTATTTGTGTAGCTAATTTGTACAGTCTGAAACTGCTCAAAATCAATCCTAAACGTAGTAATTCTGTCTTAAGATAGTATTACTTCTGTCTTAGGCTGGATTTCTATTGGGGTCTCCCAATTTATGACTTTGTGCAATTGGGAGCACTGAGTTTATCATGGACATTAATGTGAGAATTTCACCAACTATAAAGCATGCCCGTTCTGATTTCACATTCAGAAACTGAAAGGCAATTACAATGTGTCTATATAAAACAGAATGGATTGGATGTCCCATTATTAGATAACCCTGTAACACTCTAATAGATGGATCATAATGGAGCTTTGGATCTTTGAGTATCCAACATCCTTTCAAAGAAATTGCTCTTTATACAGTTTATATTTACTTAATAGAAGATAAAAGGGCTCTTTGTGAAGACTGGGGAAATCTTAACTCTATATACTTGCTTTTTTATATCACCAAAGGTGCTATGGTTTGGATCTGTGTCCTTGCCCAAATGTCATATTGAATTGCAATCCCCAGTGCTGGAGGTGGGGCCCGTTGGGAGGTGATTGGATCATGAGGGTGGTTTCTCATGGTTGCACACCAACCCTGCCTTGATGCTGTCATCGTGATGATGAGTTATCCTGAGATCTGGTTGTTTAAAAGTGTGTGACACCTTCCCCACCCTGCCACTCTCTTTCTACTGCTCTGGACATGTGTAGTGCTGCCTCCCAATTCCGCCATCATTGTAAATTTCCCAAGGCCTCCCCAGAAGCCAAGCAGATGACAGCATTATGCCTCCTTTACAGCCTGCTGAACTGTCAGCCAATTAAAGTTCATTTCTTTATAAATTACCCAGTCTCAGATATTTCGTTATAGCAATGTGAGAATGGACTAATACAAAAGGGATCCAGCCTCTTTTTACATTGATGGCTTCTGAGTATGAGAAATTTCGGTGTAAAATATTTTTAAAACATATTCAGTGCTCTTTTGACAAAACTAAAGTGCTACTAAACAGATTTGGATAAGTAGTTTTAAAAAGCTTTTCAATCCCTCCTGAATTCATGATTCTCTTTCTCCCATTGAAGATCAAATTTATAATTTTTTTTTGTTTTCTTTCCAGTTAGGTGGTTGTGGTTTTCAGCTAAATATGAAAAAAAATTCCAACTGGAATAGCCTAAACAGTAATTAATATTTACAGTCTCACATAACAGAATGTTGTAAGGTGAGCGGTCCCAGAGCTAGTTAATTAAAAATGTCATCAAGGCAAAGAGATCTTCCGTCTTCATCTTTTGTTTCCTCAGTGTATTGGGTTTTTCCTCACCTGGTCCCCTTTGTGATCACAATACGGGTGTTGTGGTTCCAGGCCTTAGATGCAGATATGCCAGTGTCAGCATGTACATCTGCCTTTATATCAGTAAGGAACTTCCCTCAGAAGTTCCTAGTAGAACTCCTCCCATGTTTTATTGGCCAAAATTGTGTCAGATACCCTTATTTAAATCAGTCATTTGAAACGTAACTTGGGGGTTTTATAATTGGCTTAGTCCAATTAAGATTTAACCCTGGAGTTGGAGACAGGCCACTTTCCCCTGAATTTAAAATTTGAAGAAAAGAGTAAAAAAGAAATAAAGCATTTCATCAACTCTTCTAAATTTACTTAAATCTTCTTAAATATTATATTTAAAACAACACTACACATCGCCAGCAGGTATTTACCTTAATGTATGACCTGGGATAGAACCACATGACTTTCTATCTTCTTATGTACTTGGTGTGTGCTACAGTGCAGGACAATGGTTATTTCCTT
This sequence comes from Homo sapiens, assembly GCF_000001405.40. Classification (NCBI taxonomy): domain Eukaryota; kingdom Metazoa; phylum Chordata; class Mammalia; order Primates; family Hominidae; genus Homo; species Homo sapiens. Next base: position 105,200,114 of record NC_000003.12, on the reverse strand, counting down.
TAAAGGAATAAATAAATTAATAAATAAATCTCGACCATTTTTCATGTTTATTAACATGAGAACAAAATGCTAACCTTTTGATGGAAAGCTCATCACAGTAAGCTTTTCTAATGTTGTCCCACCAAGTGTGGCAATCCAGTTAGGAAAGTGAATGTATTTGAGTGAGTCTGTTGGCATCATTTGACAGCAAAAACAACAAGTGGTTGTAAATTATGCAGCAGATAACATCATTAGCACCTCCTCCATATCCACATACTCTACTGTAGAAAAGTAATTTTTCATTGTAAGAGACTTAACTAACCTGAATGTGAGTTACTTTCACATGGACTTTGAAGGTAAGACAACAGGACCAAATAATAAAATGGCTCTGTATCCCAAATGCTGCATGCATGGCTGGAAACTGCCAGGCATCCTGAAAACCAAGTTGCTTTCAGTGTCTTTAAGGTGGAGAGGATTCTGGTGGTGTTATTATAGCATTATTTTGTTTTAGCCAGGTACTAAGTGCATGAATTTGTCAGACAAACGACTGCTGACACGAAAGATTAAAGAATATTATATTTTAGAAATAATGTGTTCTGCCTGTGTGAGTAGCACAGAGTTTGGTGACTGGGTCTTGGTAAACATTTTATAAAGACACAAATAAGCCATTTGTGACTTCAAATTGCAACCATTTTGAAAAACCTGAAAGCTGTTTCATAAAGGAAATACCAAATTTATCGCAAGTCAGTACAAAAGAAAACACTTGTCTTTTCAATATCTTTCACAAAGCTATATAGTTAGTAGGCTCTTCAGGTTTAAAATAGTAGCCTGATACTTTTGTATAATTTTTATCTTGATTACTAGCTATCTATGGAGCTAATAGAAAATCAAATAAGGTTTTGAGAAATCAAAGGTTTCCAGCATTCTCCTACTTTATTGAAAAAAAGAAAGAGAAAAAAGATAAAAGAGAGAGACTAAAAAAAGAAATATAAAGGAGATGATATGAGAATTGCAGATAGTAGTTAGCTATTTTCCTTCCGGCTAAAGGGTTTAAAAGACAACCTGTGAGTCCATATTTTTATAGCTTTCATTTGCAATATACAAAAGTATTATTAGGCAAGCAAGTAAATTGCTATATATATCACATGTGGGGAAAAATTCTTCTTTTTCTATTACATAAATATACATCTTGAACAAAATCTGGTAAGACATTAAATGTTGGCCCCAAATATCTGCATTACCGCAGCCTATATCAATAAAATGAAATCTTAGGTTTGTGCCATGAATCTTTATTCAGATTATTATTTGTAGATTGATGACTTGCTGAAATGAAACTAGGATGGCGGGTCAAGATTTTTCTACTGAGTTTTCTTCATGAACTGTGGAACATATGGCATTGCTGTGACTTGAGTGGGAAGGATCCTTTTTTCTCACTCCCTGCTATGGTATCTTTTCTTTGGGATCTTTGCAGGGTCAAAGAAGTTTAAACTGATTTTTCTTCAAGACTAGTGTTAAATGAGGTCTTTGTGACAACCTACTTTTGCTGTTTTGTTTTTTGTTTTCCTATGAGAAGGAAAGGACATATATGGTAAGAAGAGGATCATAAGCGAATTAGTTATTTTGAAAAATAAATGACCGTCTCTTTGATTTTAGGGCAGGCTGTCTCAGAACCAGTTAGCATCTATTGTTATGGGTCTTCAGAAATAGAAGAAGAGGCGATTTTAGCATGCAGTTACCTTTTGCATCATTACTCTGGTATAACAGCATTAAAATCAAAGTGAAAGGGACGTTTCAAGATAAGAGAGATGAACCTCCTTAACCCCCAAGATAAGAGGGATGAAAGAATAACGAGCCAAAGCATTTATTAATGGAAAGCTGACCTTCTCAATCTTTTATCTTACTCATTTTTGTCTTCCCCCACTTCTACTCTGCATTCTGCCGAGGTAAAACCATCCATTATTTTTTGCCTGCTTCCCAAATTTAGTCATAGGTGACCAAGCTATGCTCTTTTTGTGAACTGCAGCACTATTAGCCTAGGAGAGCAGATGGGCTGCTCAGTTTGAACAAAATGTCACGTTTACTATAGAGCTTGACCCCTTCACCTGCCAGAATGACTAGTCTTAGACACAGTTCCTCTAGTTTATCTGAAGTTAAATCAAGATCAGTTCTTGGTCTTAATCTTTGCAGATTTAAAGCTAAAAAAAGATTTCTATCTTTTTTTAAGTTACTTTGACTTAAAGTCTACTTGATATGAAGCTCCAAATTGGTTCTTTACCTGCTTTATGGATAGCTATGAACAGCTTCCTAGGGAAATTGTTACATTTTCTTCAACTCTATATCCCAAGCTCCATTATTTTTCATCACTAAGTAACCCTTGTTAACAATTTGTGCATTTGTGCCAACTACATTATTATCCTCCAGGCTTCCTAAATGAACTTGTTTTCCTTTATTCTCTTTCATTGGTGTATGCATAGTTTCCAAGATTGAACCATCATTCTTTACAAGACCCCTTATATTTGTACCTTCCTCCCCATTCACACTTTTAGCATTGAGGTGTAGACCCCCAACCCACAGGTACCATACCCTTCAACCTGATATTTATCTCTGATTTCCTTTCATTTACCATATTTGCTTATAAAATAGATGCAATGGTTATTATTTGATAAAGTCAAAATCCTGATCAGCAAGAGATACTCAGGGGTTTCTTGGTCTGGTTTTATGAAAGATTATATGGTGACACTGAGCAAGTTAGATAAGCTTTGGTGCCCTTTTTTTCGTTTACTATTACCTGGGTTAATGGTCTACCTCAGAGAGACACTATAAGGATTTCAAGGAGACTAATTAAAGTATCTATCATATGGGGAGCAGTACACGTGTTTGTTATTTTTCTAATCTGTTATTAGAAAATAAAATCCACTTTTATGTTTACTGTTTAAAAGTCTAGTAGGTTTCTATCAATTTCTGGATACAAATTCCTTAGTCTAGTTGTACAGGACTTCTATTAAGTTAATTCATCTTTCTTTGATTAATTATTTTCAATGCTTTGCATTATTTAGAGTAAACCTTAAGTCATACTCCCTGTCCTCCCCTAGAAACTCAATACCAAATTCCAACTTTGTGAATGTTATCCCATTTAAAATCCAATCCCCCCTATACTTTTTTGTTTGTTTTTGTTTTTGTTTTGTTTTGTTTTTTACAACTTGGCTTTGCCTCAACTATTCTACACAGTATTTTCAGATAAGTTCACCCCACAGTAATTTTTATATCATTCCACAATCTTTTTAAAAAATGAAGCATACGATTTGTGCTGATCTCTTCTTATGATTTAGATGTTTGTCACAACATTGCTCTCTGATTTTTGCATTTATGGAGGTTTTCTCAAATAGATTATAGTTCTGTGAGGGTAGGAACCATGCCTCTGTCTTCTTTTGCAAATTCTTAGTGCCTGTAATAGTAAAGTATGCAGTAATAATAAAGATTTGTATAATTTAGGTAAGTAATGGTTTGAAAATTTTCCATCTAGATTCCTCTATATATACATTCTTGGAAACAGTCCAGGACAAAAAGAAAATGAAATTTTAATTCATTTTGTCTTATAGCCTTTCATGGCTTAAAATAGCTAATTAAAAATAAAATTCCCTACTTAAGAAACTGGCAAACTGAAGAGTACAATTTTGTCAAGATAGAGAGGTTTTGGAAGATTTCTTTTAACCTTGTATGAGGATTATTTTTCTTTTTTCTCCTATACTTCTCAACTTCTTGCCTGATCTACCCTTTTCTCCCCAATTCTCTCCTCTAAGCAAATCCTGCGGAACTCTCCGTAATGAAGTCCATTTCCAACTTTTGAGCTCATGTGATTCACTTTCCCTCTTAGCTCCCGTAGGCAAGCCACACTGACCCCTTTTCTTTTCCTTGAACATACCAGGCTCTTTGCAGCTACTTCAGGACTATTGCATTTGCTGTTCTGTTTGCCTGGAATGTTCTTCCTCTGATTCCAGCTGTATCTACTGCTTCTTTACATGGTTTGGGCTAAACTTCAGGGTATATCCTCATGGATCACTTCCCTCACCACTCTGTTCAAAGGAAGATCTTGGCCCCTTCCCATTACTTTCTGTCATATCACCCTGCTTATTTCCTTTATAGCACAAAACACAGGCTGAAGTAATTATATCTACCTTCTACTTCCTTGTTTGTTGCTGTTTTTCTTCACTGGTGTGTAATTCCGCAATGACTGGGACTTTAGTCTCTGTGTTTATCACTCTATTTCTCGTACTTATAAGAGTACCTGACATAGAGTGGGCACTCACATAATTATTGAATGAATAATAAGCTGTAGTTTAAGCAACAAAATATATGTATTACCTATTCAGGTATAAAGTAAATATTCTTAAAAGGGGGTGTAGTGAGGTGAGAATATGAAAGCTGGTCGCTTATGAATTCTCCACAGAGAGAAAAGGGGTCTAGAATGAAGTTAGTCTCATATAATAACCCAATTACTTTGATAAAGCAGGATTTCATTTCTACCCAGCTGTGAAAGGACTAATGGATCCTGGGTATATGTGTTTTTTTTCTATGCATTTCCTCCCTATTGTATAACAGATGAAATGAAGAGAATTATTTTAATAGTTGCTAATGTTTTTAAGCAAAAGTAAAACATGTCTTGCCCTCAGAGCTTGCCAGAATTTCTGACTCACTCTGCCAGTCAGTACAGAAAGGAAATAAAATTTAACCCTTCAATTCCTACAGACTCATGTTGATGCAGAAATAAAACAATGTCTTAGTTTATGTTATAAGAACTTATATGATGACATTTAATATATAAATTACATACATTGATTAGGGCAACTTCTATACTTTCTTCTCTGACCACTGTACATCATTTTTCTTTTATTTACCATTAATTATTACTATCCATGTTTATCTCTTGCTGTCAACTGTTCAGTCCTCTCAGTATACAGTTCTTGATCTCCAGTAGTCTAATACTTACCCTTTTCTTCGTGGGTTGGTTGATGCTACGTTCCCTGACTGGATTACCAATTTTATTTCAAGGTTTGGTCCCAGTCCTATATCTTCTGTGAGTTGTCCTTTTCTAATATTATTTTGTTATATTTTTCACTTGTGTCCTTAATCATTTGCTGTATTAGAGTTTTCTACTTTTTCAAAATCTATGTGTATTTTCTCTCTAATAAGATTAAAGGTTCTCTAGGAAAGAAATCATTCCATATATTTCTTTTTCAATCATTGTAGCTCCTAGCACTGTCTGAACCCTGCCTGAACAGTGTCCTAGCACTTTCACGTGTGGGTGCTCAATAAATCTTTACTAAATTAGAGTGAATTATAAGCAGCATGGAGAGACTGGAAGGTAGAAATCTACAGTGTCTACTAAAGCTCCATTGGGTCTATGTTTCTAATTTTTTTGCTCACCAAATCTTTGAAGAGAGCTTCAAAGAAGTTATAAAACTAACCTTTTGTCTCCTTTTTCTCTTCTTGTAGAACTGGAGATGTCAATAAGAATGACTATAGGGCAACAGCCTAAGTTGGGAAGAGAGCAAAATTTTAGATATTAGCTAACTGAAATTATTCCCATTAGTCTGAATCTTGGGTTAGGATTCTGCAGAGAAATAGAGCCAATAGGAGTTAGATCAATTGATCAATAGATAGATATAATAGATAAATATGTGAGATTTGTTATGAGGAATTGTCTTCCTCAGTTACGGAGGCTGAGAAGTCATGATCTGCTATGTGCAACCTGCATTCCCAGCTTTTCACCAGGAAAGCTGGTGGCATAAGTTTTCATTTTGATTCTGAAAGACTGAGAACCAGGGAAGCCAATGAAGTACATCCCAGTTTGAGGGCTGGAGACGATGAGGTGAGATATCCCAGCTCATACAATGGGAAAGGAAAATGGAAGAATTTCTCTCTTCTTTGCCTTTGGTTTTATTGGGGCCCTCAACAGATAAGATGATGCCCACCCACACTAGGAGGTGGGGGTGGGGAGCAATCTACTTTACTAAAACCACCCATTCAAATGCTAATCTCATTAGAAAACACCCTCACAGACACACCCAGAAACAATGTTTTCTCTGGGCACTCTAGGGCCCACTCAAGTTGACAGATAAAATTCACCATCACAAATCTCTAATTGTGCTAATTTTGCTCTTCTTGGAGAAGTATGCCCATCATCCACAAGACACAACAGAAGCTAAAGAGCTGTTTGGCAATATCTCATATTACAGAAATATGGTCAAAGAGACGAGAAAGACATGAAGACCTCTCTGTCCTAGTCTGTAGTGTATATTTGAGAAATCTGCCCATTTGTGTTAGCCTCTGTCACTGCTCTGGGCCCTCAAACAAACGTGTTGATTTGGAGATTGAATTTGTCCACTGTTGGTTCCTTTAGATCTCATGTGTAGGAAAACTTTGTCTCTCATAACAATCAGCTTTCTATATGTTGATAATCAGAACAATGGAAATGCTGGCTTTTTCCTTCTTTCTCTTGGTAGACAGAAAATTTTCATAATACTATAGGGCTTTTCCTGAGCTGAGATTTTTTGCCATAATATTTTTATTTCTCTACTTCTCCCTTATCCAATTTATTTTTTGTGGTGAGTTATTTCTAAAAAACATATTGTTGAATTCACTGTTTTTCTAAATTTCACCTTCAGAAAACTTTCTGGAAGAAAATGGGGCAAAGAGTATTATTTTTAAAAAATTTGGCCTATGATCACAAGCAAATATTCCACTTGATATTCAAAATATAATGTAAGATTTATTACACCAACATGCTTTCCCTCCTTCTGTGCTCTAGACCATGCACTAAATGTTGCTATACCTTGAGAATGTGTCTTTGCAGTGGGGTCTCTTGATTACTCTGGCCTTGAGAAGAAGTGATCTCATATATTATATATATTCTTTATTATCATACTTTAAGTTCTGGAATACATGTGCAGAATGTGCAGGTTTGTTACATAGGTATACAAGTGCCAGGGTGGTTTGCTGCACCCATCAACCTGTCATCTAGGTTTTAAGTCCCACATGCGTTAGGTATTTTTCCTAATGCTATCCTTCCCCTTGCTTCCCATCCCCCAACAGGCCCCAGTGTGTGACGTTCCCCTCCCTATGTCCATGTGTTCTCATTGTTCAACTCCCACTAATGAGTGAGAACATTGTGGTGTTTGGTTTTCTGTTCCTGTGTTAGTTTGCTGAGGATGATGGTTTCCAGCCTCATCCATGTCCCTGCAAAGGACATGAACTCATTCTTTTTTATGGCTGCATAGTATTCCATGGTGTATATGTGCCACATTTTCTTTATCCAGTTGATCATTGATGGGAATTTGGGTTGGTTCCAAGTCTTTGCCATTGTGAACAGTGCTGCAATAAACATACATGTGCATGTGTCTTTATAGTAGAATGATTTATAATTCTTTGGGTATATATACAATAATGGGATTGCTAGGTCAAATGGTATTTCTGGTTCCAGACCCTTGAGGAATTGCCACACTGTCTTCCACAATGGTTGAACTAATTGACACTTCCACCAACAGTGTAAAAGCGTTCCTATTTCTCCACATCCTCTCCAGCATCTGTTGTTTCCTGACTTTCTAATGATTGTCATTCTAACTGGCATGAGATAGTATCTTGTGGTTTTGATTTTGCATTTCTCTAATGACCAGTGATAATGAGCGTTTTTTTCATATGTTTGTTGGCCACATAAAAGTCTTCTTTTGAGAAGGGCCTGTTGACATCCTTCACCCACTTTTTGATGGGGTTGTTTGTTTTTCTCTCGTGAGTTTGTTTAAGTTCCTTGTAGATTCTGGATATTAGACTTTTGCCAGGTGGATAGATTGCAAAAATTTTCTCCCATTCTGTAGGTTGCCTGTTCACTCTGATGATAGTTTCTTTTGCTGTGCAGAAGTTCTTTAGTTTAAATAGATCCCATTTATCAATTTTGGCTTTTGTTGCAATTGCTTTTGGTGTTTTAGTCATGAGGTCTTTGCCCATGCCTATGTCCTGAATGGTATTGCCTAGGTTTTCTTCAAGGGTTTTTATGGTTTTAGGTTTTATGTTTAAGCCTTTAATCCATCTTGAGTTAATTTTTGTATAAGATGTAAGTAAGGGGTCCAGTTTCAGTTTTCTGTATATTCCCAGAACCTTTTATTAAATAGGGAATACTTTCCCCATTTTTTTGTTTGTTTGTTTGTTTTTGTCAGGTTTGTTTTTGTCAGATTTGTCAAGATCAGATGGTTGTAAATGTGTGGTGTTATTTCTGAGACCTCTGTTCTGTTCCATTGGTCTATATATCTGTTTTGGTACCAGTACCATGCTATTTTGATTACTGTAGCCTTGCAGTATAGTTTGAAGTCAGGTAGCGTGATGCCTCCAGCTTTGTTCTTTTTGCTTAGAATTGTCTTGGCTATACGGGCTCTTTTTTGGTTCCATATGAAATTTAAAGTAGTTTTTTCTAGTTCTGTGAAGAAAGTCAATGGTAGCTTGATGTGTATCTGGCAAGATGGCCAAATAGGAACAGCTCCAGTTTGCAGCTACCAGGAAGACCAATGCAGAAAGCAGGTGATTTCTGCATTTCCAACTGAGGTACGTGGTTCATCTCATTCAGACTGTTTAGACAGTGGGTGCAGCCCATGGAGGGCAAGCAGAAGCAGGGTGGGGCATTACCTCACCCGGGAAGCCCAAGCAGCTGGGGAGCTCCCTCCCATAGCCAAGGGAAGCTGTGAGGGACTGTGCCATGAGGAACTGTGCTATCTGGCCCAGATACTACACTTTTCCCACGGTTTTTGCAACCTGTATACCAGGAGATTCCCTCAGGTTCCTACACCACCAGGGCCCTGGGTTTCAAGCATGAAATTGGATGGCTGTTTGGGCAGACACTGAGCTAGCTCCAGGAGTTTTTTTTTTTTCTTTCCCCCCCAGTGGTGCCTGGAACCCCAGTGAGACAGACCCGTTCACTCTCCTGGAAAGGGGGCTGAAGCTAGAAGTGACCTCACATTTCCCTGCAGCACCACAAAGGCAATACTCACCAAGTCAGTGATTTCAACTAAAAGGGAGAATTGAGAATGTTTGTGCAATGCCAGTAAGGGAGAGAGATTTTTATTTCAGCAGTAAGGGAGAGATATTCTTATTTCAGCAATAAGATAAAGAATATGCATTTATGTGAACTACCTGAATTCAGAAGCTTAACTGGGCAGTTGGGTGGAATATTTACTTCAGCTCTCCTGATAAGCAAGCCCTGAAGAGAGATGTTCAGAATTAAGATGGGGCAGACTAATAGAATCCTCACAACCTTGAGCAATACAAATCCTGCTGTACTGAATCAGTCCAAGAAAAACATAAACTTCGTTTCTGTGTGCAGAAACATTAGGGTATCTTCATCTAATATTTTGTTTGCACCATTCAGAATCACTTCTACTTGATCTAAATCTAGTCAAGAGCATATTCCAGGGGAAGAAATGCCATATTGAGTCTCTTTAGGGTGAGAAAATTCTATATTGGAATAAACATTTTGATAAGCATAGTTATGCTGAAGTAGTAGTGCCTAACTTATACAACGTAGTTGAGAATAAATGGTTTCAAGCTAGTAAGTTTTCTTGATAAACCAAATTGTCCTTTACTCATCACAGCTTTAAATTTTGATCACTTGAGATGGAAGTCATCTAAAAGGTATTATATACTGATTTACCTTTCTCAACAGAGCATAATGATCATTATATACTCATTTTATTAATAACCAAGAGTCATCAAAATGAATAATAATTATTATTCGGTGCTATGATACAGAGATGTTATTAACAGTCTGAAGTGAGCAGAACATTCTTAGTGACTCACTAGTGTGATACATTGGGGAGGTCAGTATCCTTATGGCATGATGTGAGAGAATGCCATTCAATAAGTGAGAAGTTGAAAGGTTAAGTGTTTAAAGCCTAGAGTTAATATTGAGGTCCAAACAACTTGTAGGTATATTTGTCTCATGAGACCCAAATTTAATATTGCTCTGCTGTTTCAAAATGCCTCTGAGCTAGCTTCCCATTTCTCCTGAAAATTAAAGCGAATACTTGAAATGGACAGAACAGATATAAGAACAATATGCCCAAAAGGAAGATGGCTCTAGCTTGTCCACTGCTTTCCATTTTTGACTATGTCCAAATGCAACATTCAGTGAAAATGTTATGTCCTTTCCAGAGTTGCAGTAAAGGTTTTCAGTTATTGTGGAAGCCCTTTACGTCACCCATCAGAGTCATTAAAGTTGTTTTGATTAGATGTCTGTTACAGGGACACTTTCTTTTGTGATTTACCTCTGGTATAGTTTAATTGATGAACATATAGTATCATAGTGGGTAACAAACACTCCCTTTGAAAGGAGAAAAACTTTGTTTTGCTGTCATGTCCCTTGACTGATTTTGGGTTCATTATCCTTCTCCCGATAGAACTTAACATTTTGAATAATAGTATTCAGTGAGACTTGTTATGTTGCTATCCCAACTGACTGGCTGCAGCCTTTAAATTATTTTTTCATTGTACATTTTAAATTTAAGAAAATTTTTGAAACCCAGTGTTTTTATCCAGCTATTAACATAGCGTCCCTAATCTCGCCAAACTCATTCATAAATGGAATATTGCTATCCTTTCCAGATTGCAGACTTTCATATCTTTGATCTGATTTACAGTGTCACAACATTTCTTGAGAGCAAAATGCTCTCTTTGTACTTAATGGGAGATAATTTTAGGGTAATAAAGAGAAGTAACAATTTGATTGGAGAGAACTGTAACCTGACAATAGCTGCTTGCTTTTCATCACACTCCAACTTGGTCTTTGTTAAATATCTGGAATAGAATTCCATACATTTTTTGTTTCCCAAAAAGGCTTACCTTTCTAATAGCATTGAAACATGGCCTTGTAGAGGAATGTTCTGTGGTGTTAAATTGTGACAGCTTTTCTCTGAACCGCAAGTCCTCTTAAATGAGAGACAGATAAAACTGTATCATCTATTTCATTTTCTCTAATTCTTTTTTTCCCCTTTGCCTCTGGAGGAAAAGAACCCAGAAAATAGTTGGCATCACATTAAGGACACAAGGCAGAGAAAAATGTAGGTTCCTGAAATGTTTAAGGGAGATGGAAATCATCTACTTTTGGGAACTGCCTAACAGAATTTACCTGCTGCATTAGTTATCCAAATTACCTCTTTCTTTTATCACACAGACAATACACAGCTAAATTGTTAAATGATGTGCGCTTTTTTTTTTCTAAGAGCAAGATTGGACACTTAATCCGGTCAATAATTATTCATGCATTAGCACAGTCTCCTTAAAGTGTAACGGTGACTCACTGAGTATATAGTCATTATTACTGATTAGCAGGAAATTATTTTTGCGCATCAGTGGTTCATGCGCAAATAGCTAAATTTATGATGCTGAGTTATTTAACAGTTGGACCATGTGAGAACTCTGGTGTTACTGTTGTGATTGAATCTTTATACATATACCAGTAGATAACTATTAGAAAACTACCCTGCAGAGTAACCATTGCAGTTAAACTTGGTATTAACATATCCCACTTTCTGAAGTTGGATACTCACTGTGGATATTCATAATGCACTTCCACATAAAGTTCCCTTAAAGATGAATTTATTTGATAAAAAAAATTGTGGGAATAAGTAAATAATATGAAAAAGAAGGTAAAATTTAATCAATAGAGAATAAGTGAAAAACAAACAAGAATGAGAAGAAAAACAAAGGAGGAATGAGGCAGATATAATTTCACTTAGTTTGAATTGTTAACTTTTTGATATTTTATAAAATATCTGAAATTTTCTTTGGTTTACACAACTGATTTTTAATGTTAGAAATGGCAAACAAACAAAACAATCTTAACTAAAAAGAACAAAGCAGAAAGCATCACATTACCTGATTTCAGAGTATACTACAAGGCTACAGTAACCAAAACAGCATGGTACTGGTACAAAAACAGACAAATAGACCAATGAAACAGAATAGAGAAGCCACAAATAAAGCCCACATTTAAACCACCTGATCTTTGAATAACTTGATAAAGATAAGCAATGGGGAGAAAAGACTCCTTATTCAATAAATGCTGCTAGGTTAATTGGCTATCCATAAGCAGAAGAATGAAACTGGACTCCTACCTATGATCACATACAAAAATTAACTCAAGATGGATTAAAGACTTAGATGTAAGATCTCAATCTGTAACAGTCATAGAAGAAAACCTAGGTAATACCCTTTTCAATATCAGCCTTTATGGCAAAGAATTTATGGCTGAGTCCCCAAAAGCAATTGCAACAAAAACAAAAATTGGGAAGTGGGACCTAATTAAACTAAAAAGCTTCTGCTTGGCAAGAGAAACTATCAAGGAAGTATACAGACAACCTACAGAATGGAATAAAATATTTGCAAACTATGCATCTAAAAAAGGTCTAATATCCAGAATCTATAAGGAACTTAAACAAATCAACAACAAAAAACAAATGGCTCTATTAAAAAGTGGGCAAAGGACATGAACAGGAACTTCTCAGAAGAAGACTTACACATGACCAACAAACATAAAAAAATGCTCATCATCACTAATCACAGAGGAATGCAAATCAAAACCACAATGAAATATCATCTCACAGATGGTATGGTATATAAAAATCAGACAGAATGGCTTTTTTAAAAAGTCAGAAAATAACAGATTCTGGTGAAGCTGCAGAGAAAAACGGACACTCATACATGGTTGGTGGGAATATAAATTAGTTTAGCCTCTTTGGAAAGCAGTTTGGAGATTTCTCAAAGAACTGAATGTTGAACTACCATTTGACCTGGCAAGCTTATTACTGAGTATGTACTCAAAAGAAATTATCATTCTACTAAGAGGACACATGCACTCATATGTTCATCCAAGTGCTATTTAAAATAGCAAAGATTCCAAGTCTTTGCTATTGTGAATAGTGCCACAATGTGTGCATGTGTCTTTATAATAGCATGATTTTAATCCTTTGGGTATATACCCAGTAATGGGATGGCTGAGTCAAATGGTATTTCTAGTTCTAGATCCTTGAGGAATCGCCACACTGTCTTCCACAGTGGTTGAACTAGTTCACAGTCCCACCAGCAGTGTAAAAGTGTTCCTATTTCTCCACATCCTCTCCAGCACCTGTTGTTTCCTGACTTGTTAATGATCGCCATTCTAACTGGTGTGAGATGGTATCTCATTGTGGTTTGGATTTGCATTTCTCTGATGGCCAGTGATGATGAGCATTTTTTCATGTGTCTGTTGGCTGCATAAATGTCTTCTTTTGATAAGTGTCTGTTCATATCCTTCGCCCACTTTTTGATGGATGTATGTTTGATTTTTTCTTGTAAATTTGTTTAAGTTCTTTGTAGATTCTGGATATTAGCCCTTTGTCAGATGGGTAGATTGCAAAAATTGTCTCCCATTCTGTAGGTTGCCTGTTCACTCTGAGGGTAGTTTCTTATGCTGTGCAGAAGCTCTTTAGTTTAATTAGATCCCATTTGTCAATTTTGGCTTTTGTTGCCATTACTTTCAACCCAAATGTCCATCAATGATAGACTGGATTAAGAAAATGTGGCACATATATACCATGGGATACTATGCAGCCATAAAAAAGGATGAGTTCATGTCCTTTGTAGGGACATGAATGAAGCTGGAAATCATCATTCTGAGCAAACTATCGCAAGGACAGAAAACCAAACACTGCATGTTCTCACTTATAGGTGGGAATTGAACAATAAGAACACTTGGACACAGGATGGGGAACATCACACCGGGGCCTGTTGTGGGGTGGGGGGAGGGGGGAGGGATAGGATTAGGAGATATACCTAATGTAAATGACGAGTTAATGAGTGCAGCACACCAACATGGCACATGTACACATATGTAACAAACCACGTTGTGCACATGTACCCTATAACTTAAAGTATAATAAAAAATAAAAATAAAAAAATAAAAAATAAAATAGCAAAGATATGGAATCAACCCAGGTGCCTATCAATGGTGAATTGAATAAAGAAAATATGGTACATATACACCATGGAATACTACACAGCCATAGTAAAGAACAAAATAATGTGCTTTACAGTGACATGGATGCAGCAGGAGGCCATTATAATAAGTGAACTAAAGCAAAAACAGAAAAATACCACATGTTCTCATTTATGTGGGAGCTAAATATTAGGTACACTTCAATATAAAGATGGGAACAATAGATGCTGGGGATACTAGAGGTGGGAAAGAGGGAGGGGGAGCAAGGGCAGAAAAACTAACTATTGGTTATTTTTCTCAATACCAGGGTGACAGTTTCAGTCATACCCGAAACCTCAGCATCACACAATATACTCTGTAGCAATCCTGCACATATACCCCCTGATTCTAAAATAAAAGTTGAAAAAGGGAAAAAAAGAGCAGGCAAGTTTTACATTTTATTTCAGTCATTTTAACACAGAAAATATTTCAAGAAGAAAATGTGCAAAATATTACTAGTATTTGTCCCTTTTGAGAGTGGGAAAGTAACCACATGTCTTAAAGACAATATGGTCACTTGATACTGATCTTGATTTTTATCTTGCTTCATCTCTACTTCCTCCTACTCTGTCAACTCAGAATAGGATTATTTTAATTATTTTTTTTAAAAACCCATTAGAAATTATTTATTAATTTTGTAAAATATCAAGTGTATGGTTGCACTGTTTATTTACAGTTGGTTTGTTTGAAGCAGTATCCAAATAAAGTTAAAACCATGTATTTATTTTTGCATATTTTAAAATTTATCAAGATAAAACCACGTATCTATTTTTGCATATTTTAAAATTTATAAGTTAACCCTCCTATTACTTTTGTTGTGATTTAATTGTTGAAAACCAGATTATTTGTGTGTCTTTATCTGATTCAGGCTCACTACTTTTGGCAAAAACACTTTATAAGTAGTGCTGTATTTTCTGTAAAGAGACACATAGTATCGGGTTGTCTCTCTCTTTTGGAGACACAGTCAAGTATTTTTTTACCTTGAGTGTTTTGTTTTGTTTTTTTAATGTGGGAAAAACATATTAAATGTTTGCTTGTTTCTTTCTATTTACCCTAAGTAATAAATTAGTTTTCTACCATCATCTAAAGTGATTAATATATTTTCCAAATCTCATTTTTGCACATATGGATTTTAGCATATTTGATTGTTATCAATTTATTGCACTTTTCGTTTTTATTCATAGTCAATTAGTCCATCTTCAGCATGAAGAGACTTTTCAAGTTGTCTTTTTCATTCTCTAGATGTGGCCACCGTGGTTTTTGATGGACTCTTTGCTATGAGGCTCATCTTCAACACTTCTTTTTCCAAATCTGGCATTAGCCATTACCTCAATGATTTCTGGTTCTTTTTCGTGAGAAATGGTATTTTGAGATTAAAATTGAAAGTTAGAGCTTTTTCTCTGCTTGGCTTTAAACAACATTTCCTTATTGTTTCTAGGACATTTTGTCTTGGACAGGCTTATGAATATCATTTTTAATATAAAATAAGCCACAAGTGGATAATAACATTTCTAATTCTAATTTATTATTTTGGGTTTTAATTAACTTCATAATTTCAAAATTTCTTAATTGCTCTTTTGTATATTTAATACTTTATAATGTTGTTTTAACCAATTATATATAGGATTTTTTTCTTTATCTCTTTCTGTCTTTAACGTAAATTCCATACAAGATAGAGAAGTAAAAATCACTATTTTTAGTCACTTGAAATTATTTTTCTTTGTTGGTTGAGCTAATAACTAAGTATATGGTAAGTGTGATTTTGTTTCTGAATTTGGAGATTTGCCGTTTTTTATTTTGATATAATTTTATCTTATCATTACAAAATATTTACATGGTTCAAAACATTTCTATAAAGTAAGTATATTCAGAGAAGCCTAACCTCTGTCATTGGTCCCTAAATCCTATTCCTCTCATTACCATAGACAAGCATTTTACTAATATTATGGTTTAACCTCTCATTCTCATTTAAGACTAAAAAAAAATACATATATAGTCATTGGACTTATTAGATAAATGGTAGCATGGCTTTCTTTATTAACTTAACATTAAATTTTGAAGATTACAGCTCTTTCTGAAGCTATCTCTTCTTCCTTTTAATGGTTGCATATATTCCATTATTTGAGTTTACTAGAATTTATTCAGCTAGTTTGCTATTGATGACCATGGGTTTCCTTAGAATTATAACAGTTATGCAATTTATAACTTTAATGAACATTTCACATAATAAATTATTTTGCATAATTTTATCAATATTTTTTGCCACAGTACTTTGTAGAACAGATTCTTAGAAGTGAAATTTCTGGGTCAAAGAATAAATGTATATGTAATTTTGCTATATATTGTCAAACATTTTACCACCATTTTGCATTCTCACTTCAATGTATGAAAAGACTTGTTTTCCCACAGCTTCTACCAACAGAGTGTGTTATCCATCTTTTGTATTTGTACTATATTGATAAGTAAAATATGGTAACCCAGTATAGTTGAATTTCCATTTATCTTATTAAGAGGTGATTTTAAAAAATGTTTAATAAGTTTTTGTGGTTATTCTTGGTAAGTTATATGATCACATCTTTAGACTGTTTTATATATGATTGTTGGCATTTTGGTTTTTCTCGTTAAATAAATTTTATGTGTTAGAACTTATGGCAAGTTCCAAAAACGACCATACTCCTTCATTCCTTCTTGTACTCATTCCCTTTATAATGTTACTTTGCAGCTCTTCCTATGAAAAGTTGGAGTTCAATTTTCCCTGAATTTGAACCAAGGTTAAGCTTGGGATTTATTTTGGCCAATGGAATGTAGCAGAGATTACCTTGTTCCAGTTCCCTGCAAGTTCCCTAGAGAACTTGAATGTGCCTCTCAGTTTCTTGGAGCCCTGTCTAGCTACCACGTGAGCTAGCCCTGACTAGCCTGCTAGAGGATGAGATTTTACATGGAGCAGAGACAAGCCATCATTACTAAGGCCAATCTAGACCTGGCAACATGAGTGAGCCTGGCAGAAACCAGAAGAACCATATACCCAATCCAAAATTTTAACCTCAGAACCATAAGTTAAATAAATTATTTTTGTTTTAAACGTTTAAATTTTAGGGTGCTTTGCTATGCAGCAAAAGTTCACACAATATCAGTTCTTTTGCCATTAATGGTTGCAATATTTTCTTCAGTTTGTACATTGTCTTTATTTAATGGCTATACAGGCTGATGTTTTTCCTTTGTGTATCTATTTTCATTTTAAATTTGCTTTTTATTTTTACTTTTACTTCCTCTTGCTGTTTTTTCTTCCATACGCAAACATGGTTTAAATGGTAGCAATTATTTATTTATTTATTTAATTTCAATTTTTATTTAAGATTCAGGGGTAGGTGTGCAGGATTGTTACAAAGGTGTATTGTGGGGTGCTGAGGTTTAGGCTTCTATTTATTCCATCACCCAGATAGTGAACATAGTATACCCAATAGGAAGTTTTTCAGCCCTTTCCCTCTCCTACTCTCCCACCTTTTGGAGTCCTGGTGTTTATTGTTCCCATCTTTATGTCTGAGTGTGCCCAAGATTTTGCTCCCACTTAGAAATGAGAACATGTGGGGCCAGGCGCGGTGGCTCATGCCTGTAATCCCAGCACTTTGGGAGGCCAAGGCGGGTGGATCACGAGGTCAGGAGATCCAGACCATCCTGGCTAACACGGTGAAACCCCGTCTCTACTAAAAATACAAAAAATTAGCCAGGTGTGGTGGCGGGTGCCTGTAGTCCCATCTACTCCAGAGGATGAGGCAGGAGAATGGCGTGAACCTGGGAGGCGGAGTTTGCAGTGAGCCGAGATGGCGCCACTGCCCTGCAGCCTGGGCGACAGAGAGAGACTCCGTCTCAAAAAAAAAAAAAAAAAAAATGAGAACATGTGATAATTGGTTTTCTGTTTCTGCATTAATTCACTTCGTATAAGGGCCTCCATTATATGTATAATGGTGTATATACACCACATTTTTTTAATTCAATCTGCCACTGAATGGCACCAACCTGGGTTGATTCCATGATTTTGCTATTGTGAATAGTGCTTCAATGAACATATGCGCATGTGTCTTTTTGGTAGAATAACTTATTCTCCCTTGGATATATACCCAGTAATGGGGTTGCTAGGTCAAATAATAGTTCTATTTTTAGTTCTTTGAGAGCTCTCCAAACTGCTTTCCACAGTGGCTGATCTAGTGTACATTCCCACCAACAGCATATAAGCTAAACCCATAATCTTTATATTCTTCCTTTTAAATTTAACTATAGATCATAAATATTTTCCTATATTTCTATATTATACCTATAATGACAAATATTAATTGCAAATCTTATTATATCCTTAAGTTTAGTATAATTATTAATCCTTTCTTTTCTTGTTTTGTGTTTTTTTGCTACTATAGATAAATTTATAATGAACAGCATTTGCTTTATTGAATTGTTTACTTATGACAATTTGTCATCAATGGAATTACTGAGTTTAAACATGTAAAAATCTTTATAGTTCTTGCTATATTTTGACTATAGCTTTTACAAGTAATATAATTTGTAATTCTACCAGCAGTAAGTACTGTGCTCTTCCTAGTTACAGATTTTTATTTTGTACAGATTGAGGTGTGTCACTTTTTAAAATAACTTTGGAAATGTTTTAAAAACTAAAAGGTAACAATATAAGGTATAAAACTACAATATTGTGTCCATTGCCTTTACAACAGTTCCCTGCTCCACTAATGGATCCACTTTCAAGTCTTTTAGCCATCTTCTCTAGTGTTTAGGTCTAGGCTCCAAAATAACTTATTCTTAATATCTTCATAACTTTTATATACTATGTATTAACTTCCTACTATAAAAACTGAGGATTTAGCTCTCTTAATCTCCATCACACTTTCATGTCCTTCTCACAGATATATATTTCTCCTCTTCCCATCAAACCACCCTCATTTATTAACATTTTACTTGAGTCATTATTCAGAGTTTTAAATTATTGTGGCTGTGTGTATGTTGTTTAATTCAGAACCAAGTTGAGCACTATAATTAAATTTCCTTTCTTGTTCATATTTTGTGGAGTTATATGCCCATTAGCATTGTTGTTTCTGCTGTTGTTTCTTATAAGCTATGGCTCAATATTCCCACACTTCCCAAAACTTCTCAGTCCCATTTTCCACTAAATCAGAGTTGCCAAAGAATCTATGAGTTCTATTTTTTTTTCTTGGAAAATTCTTCCCAGAAATTTAATTTTTAAATCTCCTGCTTCAGTCTTGCCCAGTTGTTCTCCAGGCTTGTTGAACATCCATTATCTTCACATTTCTCTTGCTGTTCTCCAGGACTTTTCCTTCATCTCTCTCCTAGGCTGGATATCATTCTTAAAAGGACATTTGTTATTTGCTATTTGTTTTGTATGCCCGGCATCTGAAGCCTTTTCTATAATTAGGGAAATCCCCACGCTTAAGGATTCTTCAGGAAGGTAAAGAACGGCATAGTACAGTTCATTTTCCCAGACTCCTTTTCATCCAAGATACAAATGTGTCAGCCAGGATGGCTCAGTCAAACGTGTTCATAGTGGACTCTGTCTCAGTTTAAGATGCTCAAAGGAAGAGATGAGGAGTGCTCGTTGTTAGTAGCAGAAATAGCGGTATTTGTAAGGTGTGGTTCCTGGTGTAGAAACAGTTGGGTTGTAAAATATCACATCTCTTTGGTGACAGTGCTGTGATGTGGCTTTTCTAACCCTTCCAACTATTCTATAAATTATCTTCCAGATCAACTGCATTTAGATAATTATATAATGTGAGTCCTCTTTTGTTGCTTGAAACTAGGAACTGATTGATATAGAGCTAGAAGATAATATTTCACCTTCCTTACTTATTTGCTCCCTTGCTTTGCTGGAGAGCATCCTCTAGCAGTTTTTTAAGTATATGGAGAGAGAAAATTTGACAGCTTGCATGTCAGAAATTTTTATTTCTTCTCTCAATGTTGGTAATTAGTTTAGACATAAAGTTGGTAGCAAATCATGCCTCAGAATCTTAAAACATTTTTACATTTGTTTCATTGCACTCTGTATTGCTGTTGAAAGGGCCAGAGCTACTTAAGTGCTTTGTATTTTCTTTCTCTCTTCATCTGAAAATGTTCAGGGTCATTTCTTATTGTTCAGTTGATAAAATTTTGCAATGATGGACTTTGGTCTGAGTTTTTGTTTTGTTTTATTTTGTTTCTCTTCTTGCTTCTATTGGATGACTTATACTCTTTTCAATGTGGAAATCCATGTCCTTCAGTTAAAACTGGGGAATTTTTCTTATAATAATGTTTCCCTTCCCATTTTCTCTGCTTCCTTTATATCTGCAGCTCATATTATGTAAATGTTGAACTCCCTGAATCAATATATTTTTTCTTTCATATATTTTCTGTCCTATTTTTCTGTTTTGTTTTATTTTCATTTTCTGAAACATATCCTAGAATTTTATTTTTCAATATGTCTATTATGTTTAGTGTTTGCTATTATATTTTAATTTTCTAAGATTGTGTGTGTGTGTGTTGTCGTTGTTATTTGGAATAATACTTTCATAAAAGATAGCATTCTGATTTGGAGCTGCAGATACAATGTTTCTCTCATTTCTTTAAGACAACACAATATTTTTTAAATATCTTTTGCTTTTTAAATTGCCTTGGTTTTTTTTTTCTGTTTTCATTTCCACGTTTTATATTAGAGATTTTCCACAACATTCTGGTGATTATTGGCCCCAATTTCTATTAAGAGAGAGGCACTGGGAGTGCTTACTGAAGCTGTTGTTTCTTGGGGTGGGGTGGGTTTCCTGCCGAGTTTTACCCATGAGAGAACTCCAGCTTTTTGTTGTTGCGTTTGAGAGGATCCCCTATTGTCAGTGTCAGTAGGATTTTTGTTTGTTGTTTGTTTCTGATTTTTGAGCCAGGGTCACTGTCACTTAGGCTGGAGTACTGTGACACAATCAAGGCTCATTGCAGCCTCGGCTTCCCAGGCTCAAGCCGGCCTCCAACCTTGGCTTATTGAGTAGCTGAGACCACAGGCGTGCGTCTTCACACTCTGCTAATTTATTGTATTTTTAGTAGAGACAGGGATTCACTATGTTGCCCAGGCTGGTATGGAACTCCTGGACTCAAGCCAGCTGCCAGCCTCAGCCTCCCAAAGTGCTGGTATTACAGGTGTAAGCCACCACGCCTGGCAAGGATTTTTTAAAATCTGATTTTTCCTTCTATCTTTGCCTGGGGAATATAGACCCGGATGCTAGTAGTCTAAGCACAAGATGGGGAATGCCGGTGGGCTCAGTATTCAGTGAATGTTTTTATTTAAACCCCATTTTTAGTACCTTACTTACCTCTTCTCTTCTCCGTGCCTTATAGTTTTAGATGAGTTCTTCTATTGTTCAAACTTTTCCGGGACTAAGTCCTCGGTCTTTAACACAAACATGAAGAGAGATAATTGCTTGGCTGATTGGCTGATTGGGATATGGGAAGAGGATATAAGAGCTTTTGTAAAGACCCTCAGCTACTTAGTTTGCTTTCTGCTCTTCTTTGCGTCTTCACTGAAGTAACTGATCCTTCCAATTCCTCAGTCTCCTGTGGTGTGAATCTGCTAGACTCACTGCGAACCCCACCTTCTGCTCACACATACCCCTTCTCTATACAGGTCTCCTAAAGCAATAATAACTGCCTACTTGCCTTCCAGTTTCTGAAATTTCGTTAATGTCTCTACTCTGCATTGCTCTAGTTTTCTTCAACTTTGTGAGTCTAGTCTTTTATTTTAATTGCTGCAATTTTGTGGTGTTTGAGATAGAGCAAACATATATACATGTGTTAAATTCGTAATGCTTACCCAGATAATTCTAAGTCCATTTCTTTCATAAGTAAAAATCAGGTGCTCAGAATCCCTCCAGAGACAGGCTTGATACTAAAGCCTATATAGAATTTCAGAAATGGAAATTCTGAATTCTATAAACTCTACCTGGTTTTTATTCATATGTCTGCTCTTCATAGATTGGCCTTTATTAGGAATGGCTTATTCTAGAATTTTATCTTTCTGCCTTTCTTCTTTTTTTGTATTCGGTATTAGAAATGTGTTGTTATTATCTTTTCTCTCATGCCTTGCTTGTAAGTCTCTTTCCATGGTAAGATGACCTGCTGTCACAGGGCCACAGGCGAAATCCAGAACTTGATAGCTGAGTGCTTCTTTAAGAAGTTAATGTAAATGGGTCCAGAAGGCAGAGTATATTGCATATTTAATTACTAATGTTCATATAATTTGAAACACATGGAAAGCATTTGGCAACATGTAGAAATACCAAATGGATTCGTTGGAATGGAGAATTTATTTTTGCAGAAGTTTATACATTTTATACTGTGATACTCTGCCTGTGATGCTTTCTGGAGAGAAAAAGATTTGGCAAAATTATGCATAAAAGTTTCTTTTGTATGTTTGTCATTAATTTTTTTTCAGTACTTCCTTTGTTAAAAACACTAAGCAATATGCTTATTTACAGTAGCTTTGAAGCTAAAACAAAACAATTTCTAAAGGTAGAAGAAAAAAATACATTATTTTACCCTCAGAAAGATGTACAAAGTATGCTTTTAAGTAAACAATTGATTGCTAATTGACTTCTGGCCCTGTTGCTAAACCAGTATTACCATAACCACTATTATCTAGTGATGGAGTTTAGGATACATTATCCCAAAATATGGTACCTTGGCATTTGAGAAAACAGCAGAAGCAGGAATATCATTCTCACTTTCCCTCTGCCCTTCTCCCCAGAAGCAGGTCATAAAACCTAGGAAAGATTTTCTGACCTTCCCCTGAAGTAGATCATTCTAGAGGTGACCTTCCTACACCTAGAGGAAAAAAACATCCTGTTCCCTGAAGACACAGGGACACACGAGAACCTGAACAAACAGATTTTGTTATGTTTTCTCCAATTTAATACGATTAGATCCTACTTTTATATCGTGTCATACTTCTCTGTGACTCTTCACTTCATCAAACTTAGTATAAAAAAAATACACAGATTTACACATTTCTGTGGGTCCTCATTTCTTTATAATGGCTCCTATGTCGTGTAAAACTCATATTAAATACATATTTCTGCTTTTCTTCTGTTAATTTGTTTTGCGTTAGAGGAGCCCCCACCAGGAACCTAGGACAGGTGAGGAAAAGATATATTTTCTCCCCTAAAGTTGGAGAATATATGTTTGTTCCTGATTGAGATGACAGAAAAACCTTAAAGTGTGTCATTTTTGTTTCCAAGTTGGCAACTTGTTCTACGGCTTCATTTTGCTCTTTTTTTGTTTTGGACTAGCAAATCTATTTTTTCCTTATGCATTTTTTTGTCTAATTAAGGAATCAAAACTTTAGATTCTTGAAGACAGAAGGGTCATAAATTAACCAGGCTTAGGAGAAGGATATTTTCGCTGTTTCTTTCCTTAAAATGTTCTGGGCTTCTTACTCCAATCCTAGAGGCACCTTGCCTCTGATCACAGAATCATTTGCTTCACATTGATTCATCTTACAGTACTTTGTTTGCATTCCATACATGTAAAATTTTCCAGAGTAGGTACTTCAAAATATTCTTTTCCATGTTCTATTTTAAGAAAACAATAAAATACAATATTATCCTTTGTTCATTTGTCAAATACTTCTTCTCTTTACTTACTATCCTCACCAAATTATATTAATGCTTTTCTTCTCTTCCAGACTGTATACTCCAATATGAATATGGATTTTGGTTCTTTTAGGTCACTTTTATATCTCCAGTGTCTAACATCCTATTTCTCACATAGTAGGCACTCTATAATTAATTTATTTAAAAATGCTTTGACCCCACCCTTCCATAAAGGACACATAGTACTTGCTCTTTCTTTTCCACATACAGTAATATAGATTTAATATTTTAATCACTGGAATGGAGATGAAAAATGATTGCTGTGTCTTATCAACTGGAGTGGTATATGTTCATGGAATAACAATAATGGTAATGTCTTATTTCACTGATTTTAAAAATACCTTTTCTTCTTACATTACACCATCATTGAAATTGGAAAGCATCTGCAATGATGATAGGTCATAATTTAATTGGAAACTCCTTTTCCTTCCTTTCTCTCTCACTCCCTTCCTTTTCTCTCTCTCTCTTTCTTCCTGGATCATAACAAAGTGATGATATGACTTAGAATTAATATGGACATGTATTTGATTAAAATAACACAGCTACAATTTGTTGAGCTCCTGTTTCATGTTAATGTTCATAAAGTCTTATTTTTTTCCATTTTACAATGAGGAAACTGAGGCCCCAAAGTTAAGTAACTCACACAAAGTTATGTATTTGGCAAATGATGGCCTTTGAATTGCTATCGCTCTAGTCTGAATATTGTGCTCTTTACATAAACAAAAGATGTATCTGTTTACCATATGCAAAGTATACCTGGGCAGAACTCAAAAGTCACCAGGAATAGAATCATAGTATAATTGAAAGACAATTTCTTCATTTTGTAAAGAAGAAAAGAACTACAGATAGGTAAAGTGATTTGTTCTAGGTAATAAGACTCAAAATTTACAGACATGGGACTAGGACAAATTCATGCATATTTATAGTAATAAACACCACAGAAATGTAGAAAGAAAGAAGAAAGATTCCAACTTTAAGACATAAAGCATTTGTTCTCCAGTCTTTCAAATAAGATCCAAACATAGGGACTACAATATGAGCATCTCTGAAAGCTTACCTTGAAAATTACTTTGGAAGTCAAAAGGAAAATATTGCTTGATGTGTAATTCTTCTAACCTGTCTCCTGCTACCTTTATTATGAGGGGAAGCATTGATATAGATAACATACAGAAAGGCTTGAAAATATCTACTATGTACTAGGAGTTCATCATGCTTTAACTTGTTTAATATTTTAACTCGTTTAATATTCAATCACAAAGTTTGAAGGTAAAAAGTAACTACCTTTGTTGCTATTTTATAAATGAGGTTGCAATAATTTAGAGAGTTCAAGCAACTTACCAAAGGTGAAAAATGGAACAATTGAGGACTCAGATTCTTCGTCAATGAAGGATTAGGTCACTCAAACCTCACCTGGCTAAGATTCTGGCAGATGGTAGAGGTAATACTCAAAGGGTAATGACAGAAGAAGCCAAATATATTAATTAAAATCCTATTACCAATTATAGAAATGAAGACTGTAGAAGATTTGCATATTTTTATTTGACTACATATACATGTTTATCTGTACATATGTGTTAGATACATGTGTTCATTTAAAAACATATATTTGTTAACCATGGTTTTTCGTCTCTCACTTTTCTTTTTTATATTATATAGATGATACTGGTGGTGCAACTTACAATTTAGTCTCTAGGTCAGAATAATCAGTGGTACTGCTACTGAATTTGAGAAGCAATTAATGCAGCCTGGGATGGATACAATGACTTTTTGAGCTGTTCCTCACTTTGAGAGAAGAATAAAACCTTCTCTTTTAAGAAGGATCACTATACAGTGTTACGTAACATATAAAGTTGTTCCGTTGTTGTATGGCAGTCAGAGTGTGAGTAGCAGGGAGCATATGGAAACTGAATCAAAGGAGTGGGCTGTGCTCCTTATCTGTTTATTGCCTCTCAGCTCCAAATTCATCCTTTTTGCCTGCTCTGTGAAAACAGATATGGGCCCTTTGCCAACTGGTATAATATTAAGCTTTGTCAGTACCGAGTGATGGAGAGGCAATGTGGGAGGAAAGGACTTTGCTTTCTGGTTTTGGAGTGCTTGTTCAGTAGGCTCTCTCACAGCATGAATAGTTTCTTCATTGCTTGGCTCCTGTATGGTGGGCAGCTTCCTCAGCATCCAGTACCTTCAGTGTATGCCAGGCAGCCACAGCCAGTGGCCAGCAGCTTCCACTTGGATTGTTTTGTAGTGAAAGGCACCTCTTAGTGAATAGCTTTCACAGAACTCTGTAACAAGATTCCAGCAAGTTCTGCAAGCTAGGCGCCTGAGCAAATTCTCCATCATTCAACAAGTATGGCTATGCCCTCTCCTATAAGGCCTGTATCCAAGCCCTAGGGGTAGTGACTGCTTCTTATATCTGCTATTGATATATTTTTTAGATTTCATTTCTTGTTTTTTATTTTATTTATTTATTTTTTTGAGACAGAGTCTCACACTGTTGCCCGGCCTGGAGTGCAATGGTGTGACCTCGGCTCACTGCAACCTCCACCTCCTGGGTTCAAGCAATTCTCCTGCCTCAGCCTCCCAAGTAGCTGGGATTACAGGTGCCCGCCATCACACCTGGCTAATTTTTTGTATTTTTAGTAGAGATGGGGTTTCACTATGTTGGCCAGGCTGGTCTTGAACTCCCGACCTCACGATCCTCCCAACTCGGCCTCCCAAATTGCTGGGATTACAGGTGTGAGCCACCGTGCCCGGTCTCCTATTATTTCTTACTAGTCAATCTGTCCTTATTCTGATCCCTTGTTATAGGTAAAAATGAATTATACTAAACTATCTGTGTTCAAATTACTGTGTGGGTTTCTCTCATTTTATTAGAATCAAGACTGTCTGACCGGCTGGGCCTGGTGGCTCATGCCTGAATCCCAGCACTTTGGGAGGCCAAGGCAGGCGGATCACCTGAGGTCAGGAGTTCGAGACCAGCCTGGCCAATTTGGTGAAACCCTGTCTCTACTAAAATTACAAAAATTAACCAGGTGAGGTGGCGAGCACCTGTAATCCCAGCTGCTCAGGAGGCTGAGGCAGGAGAATTGCTTGAACCCAGGAGGCAGAGGTTGCAGTGAGCTAAGATCATGCCATTGCACTCCAGCCTGAGCAACAAGAGTGAAACTCTGTCTCAGAAAAAAAAAAAAAAAAAGTGTGACCTCAATTTCCATGTTTTCTGACCACTAACTTTTACAACCACTGTTCCTTACCATTTCACAGATAAGTTAAAATTGATAGTGTTGCTCTAATGTTGCTCGGAATATTTTTAAAAGATGTATAATTAATACTTAAGGTAATAAAATTTTAGAATTTCAAGGTAGGAAAGAACTTGAGAAATTATTTGGTCCAGTATTTTTTTAAAAGATGTTGAAACCAAGGCCAAAACAACTGCAAGTGGGCTCTGACACATACTTTGTGATTTTTATATCACCAGTGCTTATCACAGAGTGTAAATGTGAATTCAATTAAAATGAGTGGATTTACTTAGGACATAGTTACTGAGTGCTGTGCTTATAGCTACAGATGGAATGATAATTGAGACACATATAGTTTTTACCCTCAAGAAGATTTCAGGCAAGTAGCAAATTTGGAATCAGAAATATAACTTTAGTTAAACCTATGCCCTTATTATTGTGTGAATTCTGAGTTGAAACTGGAAGTTTTGTTTTCTTTGTGCAGTCTTTGCACTTGTGTCTAAAGCTTTGTAAGAAATTTCATGGGCACATATTTAAACTTAAATAAGTGTAACTCTGATATAGCATTACAGCCGTTATCTTCTGGAACATCACTGTTGTTATTGTTACTTCTAAAAGCTCAATTTCCTAAGCACAGATATGATTGTTTATGGTTTTACTTTTCACTTATGGGGTCATTATGCAAGAACCCTAAAGTCTTTAGATTTTAATTTTGTAGAAACTTTCTTACTCCATTTTCTAGAATGATGGGTGATAGGAAGTAAGGCCATAAACTAGTGAGGTCTGATTGTGAAGTACTTTGAATATTTAGTTTATAAAATGTTAATAATAAACCTTGGCTGAATTGATTTATGCATTCTAATAATGTTTTTTCTTTTTTTTTTTTTTTTTTGAGACGGAGTCTCGCTCTGTCGCCCAGGCTGGAGTGCAGGGGCGCGATCTCTGCTCACTGCAAGCTCCGCCTCCTGGGTTCACGCCATTCTCCTGCCACAGCCTCTGGAGTAGCTGGGACTACAGGCACCCGCCACCACGCCCAGCTAATTTTTTGTATTTTTAGTAGAGACAGGGTTTCACCATGGTAGCCAGGATGGTCTCGATCTCCTGACCTCGTGATCTGCCCACCTCGGCCTCCCAAAGTGCTGGGATTACAGGCGTGAGCCACTGTGCCCGGCCTGAATTCTAATAATTTTTAAAAACCTCATAGATATCTGTCTTTCGAATAGCTTAATAAATGTATCTTTGAAATTGTTGTTTGTAAAAGCCTACATCATTTATTTTGTTAGTGTTAGGTCACTATTCCTCCCCCTTTGGAAGAGTTGTTAGAATATACTTGAATCCATTAATTTCAGACAAACTTAAGGTGAATTTTAATCAAATGGATTTTTTCTTTTAAATTCTGGGCATAGAGCTAGGAATATAAGTTTGCCATCTTCATTAGTGGTTGTGTTATTTTATATTTCATATAAATATCTTTTCCTAGCCATTGGGAAGAACTGTGTATCAGAACATTTCACAAAACCTTATAATGAATTCTACCTTTAAAAGTCCAGAATTATAACAATGAATATATTTTACACAGATTATTATTTGACTGATAAACAGGTTTTTATTGCCTTCTATAGCATTCGTTAGCAGACATGCAAACTGAAAGAGATCACTAATTAAGTGGCCTTTAGTATAATTTTGTAATTTTGAAAGAAATTGAAAAGCAAAGGAAAGTGAAAGCTGTTGGGCTCTAAAAATTTTTTAAAATACTATTATTAAATAGTGGTTTTGATATTCCTTTGATTCAAGTAGCAGTTTAACATAAAATCTTAATTTTAACCATTCACTTTGTGTCTAGTATGATCATATTTAAATTCACATTAATACTTAAATTATTAACATAAATTTAAATATCTAAAACATCATGAATATTTTTGAACGTATCACCTTGTCTGCTTCATCTTCTTCCTCTTCCTTATATTTGTGTCCATTACTTGATGATTCTCAGTTTGTAAACTCATTTCCTCTGAAACACCCTTACTCCTTGAGTGTTCAGAATTTCTGCTGACTTTTAAAAGGTCATGCCAGGCACAAATTCTCTATTTGGTCCTTTGCTTTCGCTGGTCCCTTCAGAGCTCTCTCTCTTTTTCTGTAACCATGATGTTGAAAACATGCTTACTGTTTTTTTTATTATTATTAAAAAGTACTAGAAGCAGAGTGAAAGAAAAAACTTAAAATCTGTAATAATCAATAAGAGAATCTGTATATAGCACTTTAATGTATTTCCTTCTATTTTTTTCTAGGCATTTTGGGGATATAATTAGGATTATACTTTACAAAAAGTCAGTGGTATAAAGTTTTTATATTATATTACATTTTTGGCATTTTTTATGAGGGAATTATCTTCAAAAACCTTAATTTTAATAGTGTCATATTTCACCATATGGAATGGCACCTTTTAGTTGTCAGTATAAATAGATTCCCAAGTGACTCCACAGTTTATGAAAGAGGTAGGCAGTCTCATAATGAACTGTGGGAACACTGGGGCATGTTGTAGTGCTCTAGGGAAGGCAACAAGCAGAGCCACTGCCAATTACATTCTCTACTGGTGAGAGCACAGCCCTCTGCACAATGATTGGCCTGAGAAAGAGATAAACCTGCCTCAGTAGATTGGTTCATTTAGTGAAAAACAAACAAACAAATAAACAAACAGAGGCAGAAATTTGTCCTACCCCCTAACATGATAATTGCTAAGTATGTAATCCATAAAAGGAACAATGAAAATATACGATTATATAAATAATTTATGGAATATCCATCATTCACCTATACGAGCAAATCAATATTATATTTTGATCTTAATGCACTAAGAATGATGCAATCTTTCTTTAAGTTCTTCTCTTTATTTAGCCCTTCTCCCAATTTTTACAATGGGGTGATAGCCACCAAAGTGACCTTCAGGTTATCAGTATATCCAGTTTGTTTTAAATGGCCAATCAAGATTAACAGTTAACTGCTCTCAAGAATGTTTAAATTTTCATAAAATCTGAACTCTTTCTTAGAGTAAAAATGTTCACAATAGCAAATATAATGTTAAGTAGAGAGGAATTTTCTAGGATGGTGAGTTTTATTTTATTTTTCTCTAGTAATAATGAGAGACAGAATTCTCTAATCCAGATTTATTGCTTTTGGTAGTATAATGATGTTGGCCAACAGGTATCCAAGTGGTACAAATCAGTGGAGGTTGATGAGTATTTTAAAGACATTTATTTTGCATATTTTCATACCTCGTCATAACAAGGTCTGTGACTAATATTTGGATTTGAAAAACCTTTTTAAAATGAGAAACATTAGTGATTATTTCTGGCCTTAGAGTTCAAAATAGATATGCTACTTTGAAAGTGAAAATTAAATGGAATGTTAATGTATCTATTCAAATGATAGAGCAATGTAATGCTTTTTTGAAACATTATTTGAAATATATCTTTTCTGAGGTAATGTTCTCTATTTATATAATGGCAATGTTATATTCTTAATAAATATTTGCGCTATTTGGCTCCTACTGAGTATCTTTTATTGAAGTTTACCGAGATGCCTAAATTTACCAATTTGATTTTTTTCTGGGGGTGCAATCAGACCCTAATTGTAATTTAAATTGAAACCTTTTTTTCGTAATTATTTTGAAGCTGACTTAATAAAGGAAAATAAAAAGCACTGTACGTGTGTGGGAGAGAGAGCAAGAGAGAGATAGCTATGAAAGGTAAGGCAACATTTAAAAATAGAGTCTAATCGTTTATTAGGGAGAAAGAACTAGCCCATAAATGTTAACAAACAATGATAATAACAACTCATGGAGTGCTTTAAAATTTAGTGTACATTCATTCTCTATCGTTCTTACAGTGTGCAATAATTTCAACAGGATGTATTTATTTGCTTGTTTGTTTATTTTTTGATGTAAGATTCACTTTGGGACCAAACATTTTGCTGCAGAAAGTGAATCTCTTGTTTTTAAGGTATATGGCCAGATTAATATACGTTTAAAAATATGCTTTTTAGCTGAGGTTAATTGCTATCTTCAGTTACATGAGAAAAATAATACAAAGTGAAAGAGATAAATTTTTGCTTGACTGCTATGTTATCATCTTTATTGCTTGAATGAATTTAGAGCTCTTCTAGTCCAATACTTCTTCTTTTACAGATGAGGATCCCTATGTCCAGAGAGATGGTCGGACTTTCTTAAAAGCTCACTAGAGAAAAAGTTGGGAGTGAGAGATGAGGCCTTTAGGTCCCCAGGTTGTTGCTTAGCTAATACTCTGTGAAGATGTATTTGTTCCCTTTATTTTGTTTAATGAAAGCCCTTGTGTATTTGTAGGTTTCATGCAAGCAGGTACTCTATCACACAATTTTTTATTATCTATTGGTGATGAAATGTGTGGCAAACATAAATATTTTCACTTTCTTGATTAGATAAAATTATCATTAAAATTTGTAATTTATAGAGTATTTCCAAAACAGCATCTTTTAAGTATGAAAATAAGAAGTAAGATTTTTGTTTCTGCCATCCAGAAACAAATAGCATTGCCTTTTGATTATTACCACAAATAAGGAACTAAAAATGCTGATCAGGTCCTGTTCTAAATACCACTTGAAATTTTTTATATGACATCAGGTAAGTCCTTTAAGCTATTAGCACTTATATTTCTTCACTGCAAAAAGGTGATAATAGCTGTCTTCTGGATGTTAACCTTTGACCAACAAACCGTGCACACATTGATTCCTCTTTTATTGGAATATTAAGTTCTTTGATGTGTCTGTGTTGATGATAGGGCTGAATATTTTTTAATATCCCTGCAGGGCTGTAGAAATAAGACAAAAAAGTAGATGAAACTTACTTAATCCTCAGATTGAAATTTTGGTTATTACTGTGAACTTTTCCTAAGAGTCATTTGAGCAATGTAGCTATTATAGGTAACCCTAGAATGGAATGTACTCATCTAAGTCTGTGTCTTCCAAAACATGATACCCCAACTTGAAACATCAACATCATCTAGAAACTTGTTAGAAAGCAAAATCTTGAGTCTTACTCTATGTGTGCTCAATCAGAAACTCTAAGGTTGAGTCCCATCTATCTGTATTTTAACAAAGTTTACAGGTAATTTTGATATATATTAATATTTGAGAGCCACTGGTATAAACTAAAACAAAAACAAATTAAGATAGGCTTATGGAAGTTAAACCTCTCAGACTTAGCAACAGAATTTATATAAATATATACATATTTATATGTATGTATATGTATGTATATATACATATTTATATGTATGTATATGTATGTATATATACGTATTTATGTATATACATATAAATCTGTATATATATAAAAATATATATATATTTTTTTTTTGACGTCCATTCAGGGAGACAAGAGACTGTGTTAACCCTAGGTGGGTTTTTATCTTAACTTTAATGTATCACTAAAAGTGTTGAAAGAACTGAGGAAATTTGACAGTTTTGATAACCAACGATTAAAATATTGAAAAAAAGCGGAGAAATGTCAGTAAGGGAAGGATGGTTGCTGCTGAGATGTTGGTATCAGAAATCCAGTAACTTTTTTCTGTATACAAATAAAAGCTAAGAAAGGGTATAAGGCACATGTTAAAAGATTATAATCATTTGAGGGCACTACTCATGCTCAGCATTTGTTTTTATAAATAAAAGTTTCATTTGGTATGAAAACAATGATAGATCTTGAGATTTACTTCAGTTTTTTGTGAGATTAAAAAGATCAAAGAAGTTGAAGAGATTTACTTCATTACAAAGCTATTAATGCTTTATATACTTTATACTGGTAGCAAATTCTTTTTTTCTTTGGTAGCAGAAATTGCTTGTTTTTCCCCAGAGAAGATGAGTTATAAAAGAAAGTTACTACAACTTTTGTACTTTTAACATAAAAAGTACAAAATTATTTTTATAGTTGTGGTTGTTTAAAATAGGTTGCTGATACGAGCATTGTGGAAGAATGATATTTAGAAAATGTAGCCACAGTTTGGTTTGAACATTGTTGGCTGTATACCAGTGGTTCTCAAAATAGTTGTTTTGAAGAGATGAAGGGCAAAGTGGTGAGTTAGTCAGAATAATCTGGAAGTCTTACATTAAATAACTCATGTTCCTCAATGCTGTGCACCTATAAAGAACAGTGGCCTTAGATTATCTTAAGTCTAACAAAATTTTTCTTTAGGAATGTCTTATGTATATAAATATTACATATGAATTCAACTTTAATATTATGTATTTCTACAAACATGGAGTAAGAAGAGAAACTGAATGTTTCACACTGATTTTGGGGGGTCTCTTTTGTAACTAAGATACATAGAGTTTTTTGTTCTTGTTGTTTTACTTATAATTTTTTTTTCAAAAACTTCTTTCACTTCTCCCAAATCAAACCATAAACAACATTAAGGATGAGACTGAGAGTTGGAGAGGTCAGAAGGCCTGCCTTGGCCAATCAATAGATATTTGCAAAAAAGACACTTCTGCATATGAAGTCACCTATTGATTGTTTAAAACCCTACTATTGCTCCTAATCCTTTTGATTCATTATCATTAATGGAGTGAAGTAAGTTTGTTAATATCCAATTTTGGGGGGATGCTTGTTTTGTGAAAGAAAATCAAAGTGACTGCTTTAGACCTCTGAATTTGGAAAGTAGGTTGTATGAAAGTAGAGAGCCTCTTTAATTTGATCTTCTATCAGCTGCTGTAAGTGTCCTTCAGTCTTTGATTAACCTCTTCCTGTCAGCTCTACGTGATCTTCTCTGGGAAGCTCTTCTCTGCTTCAGTTCTAGTTAGTGGTCTGGCCAGGGCCGTTGGTCAGCCTCAGTTTTTGCCTGCCTTCTTCTCTGGACATCTTCTTAGATCCTTGGCCTCTGTTGTCATCCTAACAGTGTCATCAGTTGCTCTGTCAGGTACGGTCTAATCAAGACGTTCTTTTTAAGCACCAACCAACATTGTCCCTGAAAACATACTACATGCAGAGGTAATGCTGAATCAAGGCAAAGTTATTGTAGATATAACTTATTTACAATAAGTTACCTTATGGATACCTTGAACTTGAGGAACATAATACACTTTCAGAAATAAGGTACAGACCACACAGGGGCAGAAGATGTGATTTCACGGAAGAAATCAAGTTACCTCTTGTGCTCTTTTAGCATTCTTTTTAACATTTGTCTGTTTCTCATTATACATTTTCACGATTACTTAATTAATGTCCTAAAAGTATGTTTTATGAGAGCATGGTCTGTGACTGTTTGGTTTGCTGTATGTAGACTCTGAACCCAGTGCCTGACTTATAAGTGCTTCCAAAATATAAGTTGAAGGAGTTCTGAAAAAAGATACATAATCGTCCCGAAAAACTTTATCATGTGATGTACGGTTAGTTTAAATGGAGCTTAGAACTACAGTAATATGTGGAACTGTAGGTATTATATAAATAGACAGAGGTTGGCAGATAATCCCAATAAGGGAAGCAGCATGAACACAGGGAGTAAGGTCGGCATGTAAGGAGTGTTCTCACCTAGCTTGGGCAGAGCATTCCTGTGAGCAATAGTAGAATGTGTAGTAGCGTAGGAATAGTGTAGGAGTAGATAGGCATAGTAAAATGTGAAAATATAGTAGATATGTGAAGTGGACAGAAGATGAAGGGCATGGATCAATGGTATCCTGCAGCTGGTTTGAACTGGTTCACAAGACCCTATTGTGCACAGCTCTTCCTACCTTCACAGAACCAGCCATGATAAGACTATTTACACTATGGAAATCGGTAAATAATACACATTAGGGCTCTTCTCCCTGCCCCAACCTCCCACCCCCATAGAACCACTTGTTGATATTTGTAACCAAATCATGGTATAGATATTAGGCTTTAGAGGTGGTACTTGTTTCTAGGTTCAACTAAGAGATGGCAGGATAAACGAAGATATTTGTAAGATTAAAATCCACAACTTAGCACCATGGTAGTGTGGAACTATTGCAATAAATAGAAACTAAAAATACTGAAACTAGTAATTTCAGTTAGAAAATAGCATGGTAAAATGGATGGTTTGGGAATATTTTCTTGTTCTGCCAGTCTTCGACAGATTTATTACTTAAGTCCCATCAAATTATTGAAAGTTCTCTCAATCCCAGAAAATCAACTGCTTTTAGTATAACCTGAATTCTGTAGAAAACTGTGACAAAGGAATTTTAAAATTTTATGTTTTTGTATTTTATATTTATATTTCTCCTTATGATATAAGGAAACACTTTCCTATATAAATAACACATTATAAAAATTGGATAATATAAAAATTATAAAAGAGAAAGTACTCTAACATATAGATAGCCATTTTTAACAGTTTTTATTGTTCGTCTAAGGATAATCTAATAATTTCAATTTCTATTTTTTCTTTCATTTTTCTTTATAGCACTTACCACATTCTAATAAAATACTTCATATTTTTGTTTATGTTTTTCTTTCTCTCCTTTAGACTACAAGCTTCATGAGGGCAAGAATTTTTGTCTGTTTGCTTATTGCAGTATCCCTGACACCTAAAACAGTGTTGTACATAATCAAAAAATATTTGACTACTGAATATAGTTTCATAAATGAATATTTTAACCTAATATTGTGAGTATTTTTGCACATAAAAATGTAAATGTGTATCATCATTTTAGTAGCTATGCAATATGCCATATTCTACTACATATGTATTCCATATATATATAATTGACACACATGCATATTTCACATATATATGCTTAGAAATGAAATATTTGAATTAAAGTTTATAAACATTTCTAAGTACTTTAATGCATACTGCCAGCCTAGTTTCCAAAAACTTCCTAAAAATTTATATTCTCACAAACAGCACATAGTTTTTTTGCTGTTTATCTATTTATACATACCCAAATTGGATAGGGTCAATCTTATCAATGTTTAATAAGTGGATATCATTTTAATATTTATTTTTTCATTACCAGTGAAACTGAAATTTTTCATATTCTCATTGCACAGTTGTATTTCTTCTTTTGTTAATTGTTCATGTCTTTTTAAAAATTTTGAACTAGTGTTTATCTTTATTTATAATCTGAATATATTAAATCTTCATAATTTGTATTGCATCCTTCACCCTAACATTTTCCATTTGTCTTTTAATATTCAAGTGCATTTTTAAAAAACATTTTTGGTATTTTTGTTTTGTTTTCTTGTTTATTTTGGTTAATCAAAAAATTTTATGTTTATGGAAGTAAAACTTTCAATCTTTTCCTTTCAGATACTGGGGTTTTGTATTAAGGTAATATAAATGCACTTATATTTTTCTTCCAATTTTAGGATTTTATATTTTACCTTAGTTCTTTAATACTTTTTTTTTTTTTTTTTTTTGAGACAGGATTTTACTGTCTTACTGTCACCCAAGCTGGAATGCAGTAGCTGGATCATAGCTCACTGCAGCCTCAAACTACTGGGCTCAGGAGATCCTCCTGCCTCTACCTCCTGAGTAGCTAGGACTACAGGCATGCACAACGAATCTCTGGACCTCAAGTGATCCTCCTGCCTTGACCTCCCAAAGCACTGGGATTATAGGTGTGAGCCACCACATTTGGCCCTTTAATTCATTTTAAATGATTATGAATGAATTTTGATATGAGAATGGCTTCAACATTTATTTTGTAATTTCATCCATTTCATGACTATGGCCTTGAAATGCCACTGTTAGCATATCCTAAATTTCCCTGTACACTTGGCTCTGTTTCTTGTTCTACATTAATTTCACTCAATTATACATTCAGTCACTCATCTGATAAAAATTATTGGATATTGTTATGTACTAGGCACTAGGCTAGTTAAATGGCATTGGGACAACTAGCTCCATTCCCAACTAACCCAAGGCTCTTTTCAAAATTCTGCCTAGTTCAACCTTGCTTAGCCCAATCTAGTTCTGTCCAGTTTAGTCCAGTGAACTCAGATTTTTTTTTTAAGACCTTGACTTTGAGCCTAAGATTAAGTAGTACAGAAGTAGAGGTGAAAGTGAGAATAAAAACCAATTGGGGAAAAGCAATGGGAATGTGGGGAGAACTCAACAAGGGAAAAAGTGAAATTTTTGAGCTGGTTTTAAGATGGGACTAAGGCAAATAAAACAACAGTTTGTCTCTTACTTTAAAGCCCTTAAATAGCCCTGAAAAGTGAAATTTATATTCAAACTCTGTGAGACTTAGGAATAGCCCCAAGAGATATTTTTGAAAAATGTGCTGTTTCATAATGTACATTAATTCATTTATTTCAGAGGAAAATGAAGGCACAAATAGAAAAATAATTAACAAAAGGAAATTAAGAAATTAATAAAAAGCAGATTCTGCACTTATGGAACTTACCAACCAACAACTGAGAAGTCAGAAATAACAAATATAGAACTATGTGTACAGTAATAGAAACAGATAAATGCTTTCATATAAAAGCCCATGGAGGGAAGGGGCAGGCTTCCTGGAACAGGTGAAACTTGACAACGGTCTTCAAGTTTCAATATGAGTTCTACAGAAGAGAGAATGTTGAATGTCATGTAAAATAGAATATTTCTTTAGGTAGGTGCCCAGAGAATGAATTTCAGAAAAGAAAATAACTTTAGCAAATGTTAAGAAATATTTTTAAAAATATGTATTATGCTGTGAAATAGTTCTGTTGTGTAAGTGGTGGGAAAGGAGGCTAAAAAGTATAGCCTTGGGCTGTTTCTTTGAATACTATGTGTGGAAGGCTCTATTGGCAATCTACCCCATATCCATTTCAATCTGTTTTTCTTATAAATGGAACCCCATTTTTGTTCACTGAAATGATGTACCCAAGAAAAATGTACAGTTTCAAGACTTCTGGGGGTGGCCATGTTACACAATTTTTTATGTTTTCCTTATGTATTTGAACAAGCATTTCTTACAATTTTTTATAAGTCAGGCACTGGAGATACTGTAATGAAATAAAACAATAAGAACAGACACAGTCTCTGATGTGGATAAACTTAATTTTCTAATGGAGCAAAGGATGACATTCAACACATCAGAAAAAGAATCATACAAAATATATAATATGGTATAAGTAACCTGGAAAGAATATCAAACAGGAAAAATGTTTTACTTTTAAATAGTATGACCAATGAGAGTGGGCCTCATTGAAAAGAGAACATTTGATCAAAGACTTAAAGGTAAGAAAGTGCACTGCACCTGTTGATTTCTGGGGAGAGAGAATTCAGGGCATAAGGGAGATGAGGTACTAAAACTGTGAAGAATGTGCTTACTGTGTTCAAGGAATTGCAAGCACAGTAGGAAAGGAAGGCAGAGAAGAATTATCAAGAGGTAGATGCTCTAGAATCTTTTAGGCATTTTACTCTGTGAGACTGAAAGCCATTAGAAATTTCAAGCCAAGAAATGACAAGCTTTGACATGGTTTTTAACAGGATTTCTCTAGCGGTTGTGTTGATAGTAGATGGTAAAGAGTCAAAGTTGATGTCAGCGAAGCAAGTGACAAGACTGTTAGAGTCATCAGGTGAGACATGATAGTGATTCAACACAGGGTAGTAATAGGAAGGTGGGAAGAAGTGGTCAGGGTCTGGGTATGCTGTACTTTGAAGGGAGGTTTCTGGAAGATTACATGTTAAAATGTGAGACAACTTAGGACTTGAAAATGCTGAGAATTTGTACTAAGATAATGATAAAATGTTATGGCTATTGAGAAATTAAGATAAAAAAAGATTTGGGAGAAAATGGGCTTTCTGTTTGTTTCATTGTTTGCTTTCCTAATGGGTTTAGAAATCAGAAATTTGGTTTGTGACTTGAAAATTTGAGAGTTATCAGACATTCATGTAGAGTTGTCAAAGTGGAATTTGACAGGGGAAAAATCTTGACTGGAAATATATATTGGCTACTGTTAGCGTAAAAACAATTTTAAAGATTTGAGACTGCACAAGATGATCACAGGATTTGGTGGAGAGAAGACAAGAGGAGGGGAGGGGAGGGGAGGGGAGGGGAGAAGCGGAGTCCTGGGGCTTTCCCATGCCAAGAGTTCAAGTTGGAGAGAGGGTATTACCAAAGGAGATTTAGAAGGATCAGCCAGAGACATAGGAAGAGAATGAAGAGAGTGGGCATTCTGGATGTCAAGTGAAGAAAGTTTCAAAGCAGGTAGAGAGATTAACTATTTCAAATGCTTACTTGTAATACAAGTGAAAAGAAAATTGAAAATGTCTACTGGATTTGGCAATGTGGAGATCATTGATGAGCTTGGCAAGAAGCATTTTGTTGGTGTGTTGGGAACTGAAACCTGGTTTAATTGTGGTCAAGAGAAAATGACAACAAAAATATCGAAAGCAGTTATAATATACAAATCATTCTTTGAAGGAATGCACAATAAATAAAGACAGGTATGGACTTAAGTTTGTTTGTTTTTTTAAACTAAGGTAGAAAAATGATGGCATGTTTACTTGTTGATCGGAAATAATCAGAGATGGAGAACAACATTCTCTCATGGTTGAGATGGAATAAGATCTTGTAAACAAGAAAACATTTTGGCAAAATATACAACCTTGAAGCTGGTGGGAGTAAATATGATGATGGAAGCTCATAGACATTTTCTATTGCTTGCTTCAGGTTTCTCAGTGAACTATGAAGCAAGGTCATCAGCTGAAAGTGAAGATGTGGTATGGAGGCATGGAGGCTTAAGGAGATGCCATATGAAATAGTCCTTGGGCAGTGGAGAAATGAATGCAGCAGGAAAGATTGCTGGGCAGCATGCAGGGCTTCCTCCATTCTTTCTTGCATTAATTGTAGATGCAGTGATGAAGACAATAGCAACCTTGCAATCACACCAAAACAAATGTGAAAACAAAAGCTTCATATGAATCAACAGAAAAAAACTTTAATTTCTTTCATGTTTTGGAGCCATTCTACCTTTCCTTTACTAACTTCTGACTTCATGATATGTGAAAAAAATCACTATTTTATTAATCCTTAATAGTCAGGTATCAGTTTTATGTGCTCTTAAACTATCCTAACCTATGCTTCACGTTTGGACTTATTTGTTAGATGAAGGGGAGTCACTGAAGTTTTTGAAGACAAATGTGACGTGACTAGTACTGAGATTTAGAAGATTACTCTAATGTGGCAGATGGATTTTCCCAAAGTATACATTACCTCTATCCCTTGATAACACTTTCCTTGGCTTAGCATCAAAAGCCATTTGCTACCGAATGTAGAAGCTATTACAGCTTGTGCCAAGAAGGAGAGTTATTCAATCAAAACTCATTGAAATATGTTGTTATCAGGCTGGTGTTTTCTGCTGTGAAATTATTAGGTGAATGCAGTGGTGTCAAAGATTGTTTGAGAACAAATTGCTATAGGCCTTCAAATTTATAAAAGCGGAGTTTAGATTCCCACTGTGGATTTTGGGCACCCTGTCAGTGTTCTGATGTAGACAACTGTCAGAATGAGGATAGGCTTTTATCATAAGATAGGTTATCTATTTTCATCATTAAAGGCCCTGAATTCATTTTGAGTTGTTCAATATGTAAATCTTTTATATAATCATTTATTGCTCTAATAAAGATAGATTTTTAAAAATTGAGATTATTTTGGAGTTTTTTTAAAGGTTAGCAAGTAATATTTTTATTAACTTTATTAAAATTCTGTCAGATATTCTTCAACTGAGGGGCACATGCCACAGATATATGTGATAGTGTTCTGGGAGGACCTGAATGCTTAATGCAAACACAGTACATCTTCCTATGCAATCAATTTATTTCATGGCAGTAAATTTAAATACATTTCTGTTCAAAATAACCAATAGTTTTATTAAGTAGTAAAATGCAAATTCTTACAATTTTGAAGATACATGGAAGAGAATTTAAAAAATAAAGATATCTAAAGTTAAATTCCTAGATGCCTCTTTTTTATCTGCTATTTATTTTTGTATATTGATATCTTATTTTGTGACAGGCATTGTACTAGATGAGAAGAATAAAGCATCAGATAAGAAAAAACAGGACTTGATAATAAAAGTCACATCTATTTTGTGAAAGAAGTAAAT
Source organism: Homo sapiens (assembly GCF_000001405.40). Classification (NCBI taxonomy): domain Eukaryota; kingdom Metazoa; phylum Chordata; class Mammalia; order Primates; family Hominidae; genus Homo; species Homo sapiens. Next base: position 105,159,074 of record NC_000003.12, on the reverse strand, counting down.
AGGAACTAAATTTACTGCACACACACTATGTGCCAGTCACTGTGGGCCATACCTTTGACATATTTTACATATCCAGCTCCATTGCTTAGTGTAAGCAGCTTCACTGCTTAGTGTAAGGCCATGCAGCTGGCAGGCTAGCAATAGCTGAATGTCTCTCGTTAAAAATAGTTGAAGGGATTTCAAAATGATTATAAAGTAGGTAGGCTCTTGTTGAATAGTCAACAGTAAACTATATTTAAAATGTATTCATGCAACTCGAATATTGTAGCACCTGGAAATATCAATATAATTAAACTTCAGTCTAGATTTTACCTTGAGCTTTTAGGCAATGAACCTTTAAGAAATTATTAGCATTAAGCGAAAATTGGATGCAAGATGTAAATGGTAAGGAGTTATCTGCTTAAGTAACTCAGAATAATTACTTCAGAATACATTATGTAAATTTCTGTTTTTTAATCTAGAGATAGATTACTTAGTCTGTGAACTATCCTGGCTTCATTCAAGCCATTTTCTCCAACTTCTCTTTTTTTTTTTGACTTACAAATATTTCTCTAATTTCTACCAGTGTTTCTTCAGAAAGTCCTACAAAAGTTTGAAGAGGAAGGAAGTTGAACTTAGTGACTAAAAGGAGGTATTTTGTTGATGTCATGTTTTGAGTGCTCAAATAACATATATATGGAAACTTATGTTGGTTCCACAGTTTTTTTGTATTTATTTTTGGTCTTTTTCTCAATTCCCTAGCTTTTGTGTCACCTTTTCTGTTTTTAGGAGATACATTGTATCATAATGTATATTCAGAAGAAAATCCACTTAAATGATAACATTAACATCTTTAGTGTGGGAAAGTGGATGATTTTATTATATTACCTTTGTTTTTCAATACTTTCACATTTTAAACAGTGAGAATTGTATTAATTTTATGAACAAAAATGTTTAAAATTTTAAAATAAGTCTCGTGTTAATGGAAAAGAAACTCTGTAAAACATTGTAAAGAGATTTTTCTGAGCCAATATGAATTACTGCATCCCAGAGAAAACACAAACCCAAGAAGCCTTGAATAAGGGGTCCTCAGACAATCAGGATATAGTTTGGTTTTATACATTTTAGCATGACAGTGTCAGAGGTGTCTAAGCCATTGCAACGCCACCTTGAATAGGAGCTGGGTAAAATAAGCCTAAAAGCTACCGGGCTGCATTCCCAGATGGTTAGGCATTCTAAGTCACAGGATGAGATTGCAGGTTGGCACAACATACAAATCATAAAGACCTTGCTGATAAAACAAGTTGCTATAAAAAAACCGACCAAAACTCACCAAAACCAAGATGGCCATGAGAGTGACCTCAGGTCATCCTCACTGCTACACTCCCACCAGCGCCACGACAGTTTACAAATGCCATGGCAACATCAGGAAGTTGCCCTATATGGTCTAAAAGGGGAGGCATGAATAATCCACCCCTTGTTTAGCATATAATCAAGAAATAAGCATAAAAATGGGCAAACAGCAGCACTCAGGGCTGCTTTGTCTATGGAGTAGCCATTCTTTTATTCCTTTACTTTCCTAATAAACTTGCTTTTCCTTTTCGGCTCACCTTGAATTCTTTCTTGCACAAAATCCAAGAACCCTCTTTTGGGGTCTGGATAGGGACCCCTTTCCTGTAACAACAAGAGTTACAAACAAGGACATAAATCAATACATGGAAAGTATAAGTTGGTTCAGCCAGAAAAGGTGGGTCATCTCGAAGAATGCCCTTATAAGACATTCTTTAGTTGACAATTTGTTGAGAGGGTTAAGCTATTGTATAAAGACTTGAAGTCAATAGAAAGGAACGCTTGAATGAAAATAAGGAGACTGAGGGGTGGGGGGCCCACCAAGGCCCTTGTTATGTAGATGAAGTCTCCTGGTAGCAGCCCTCAGAGAGAATAAATGGTGAATGTCTCTTTTCAGACCTTAAATATGTCAGAATCTCAGCTAGAGATTCTGAGAGGAGAGATTCTGATCTCTCCTAGATCCAAGAAAGGCCTAGAAAGGGAAGGCATGGCTGCATTAATGGAGATTCTCCACAGATGCAAATTTCCCTCACAAAAGATGGCTTCGCAGAACCATTTCAAAATATGTCAAATAAATATATTTGGGGGTAGGATATTTTGATTTCCTTCAGGCTCTGCTGTCATGTGATGCTATACTAGAGCAAATCCAAAAAGCAAGCCACCTTATACAGAGTTATTAAAAGAAAATTTCCATTTTATTCTTTGTAGGGTGTGACTTAATCTTTGCTTGCATGGTCTTAGGTTTTGTTGAAAACTTGGTGTCTTATTGCCACAAAGAGATTTGGTGTCTTATTGCCACAAATATTAAAATAGATTTCTATTTTAATCTTAATGCTAGTTAGTTGTGCCCATACTCCAAAAGGAATGGGATATAAGGAGACGCCTCTGACCTCTCTTCCCATCATGGCCAGGAATTCAGTTTTTCAGGTTTCTCTAGGGTCTTGGCCTTGGCCAAGAGGTGGTCTGTTTAGTCAGTTGAGGGGCTTGGGATTTTACTTTTGGTTTATACTTGGAGAAAAATAATTAATATATACGACTTTAATTCTTTGGTAAATGCATGTGGGTAATAAGCACAGATTTCAAACAATATTAGATTTTTTAGAAATAGTATCAAAACACCAGTTAGTATATCACAGAGTTAACCACTGTTTTGTTGCTCAGTGACACCAACATTTATGTGTTAATACGTACAAAACCCTGAGAGTGGTTTTTCCTTTATGAAGGATCTTTGCATGTATGACTTCAACTACAGAGGAAATGAAATTTCCCAAAGTAGGCAGATGCTTGCCAAGAAAATATTTTCTAACCAATAGTTGAGGGAAGTGGGTCAAGGAAAAGAACCCAAAGCACCACTGTGGAATAAGTAGTAAAGAGTATCATTTGCACATGAATACATCAGAATTTCCATCTTAGAAACCTGAGTGTTTCCCATGACACAAGAAGTTCCTAAACTAGACCGTTATTTTCTTTAAACAACACATTGCTGACATTTTTGCCCTAAAGATTACTGCTATATTGCTAGAGAGAAGTATCTCTATGAAAAGTTGTAAATTTACTTGTGGTAATATAATTTGAAAAAATCTTATATTTCTGGAGTTTTATGAATGTATTTTCTGTAAGAAAAAGCATATCAATAAATGCAGCAGTTGAAATTTTTCAGTGTAGTGTGTCCTTTGTATAGTACATTTGTTGTAGGTAAATATCATTAATTAGTAATTTATGTTAAGATTTATCGTGGGGCTTTGCTGATGCTTCTATAAGTACCAGGGCATCTATATTTGCAGCTTTAGTAGTTAGAATATCATATTAATTTTATATTTATATATTTTTAAAATTAAATATATGTGGATTTTTATTTTTCTTAGAGAAAGTGGATCTAAGTAATTATTTTAAGGCAAGATTCTCTTTGTAAGTAGCATGGAAAAAATTTATCTATAATGACATGAATATTTGAGATAGATGACTTTTTAAAAATTAACTTGGTATATATAATCTTCAGTACATTGATTTCTTGGTCTATAAAATAGGGTTTTGAGAGGAGGACTGGAGGATGAAGTGAATAATATTACTTGAGCATATGGTCTATTTTTACAGGAATGTACATTTCTGAGGAATAGTTGAAACTGGCCACGGACTTGTGCTTTTTCATATTTCTCTGAGTTTACCAATTGTTTATCTGATAGCTTCTTGCTTTCATGAAATACATAGTTTCCTTCCCCAATAAACAGACTTTTAAAAATTGATATAATTTAAGTTCTTATTGCTAGGAAATATATTCTAAAGCATTGCCTATCTAATACTCTAACATTAGGTAAATTTATACATACGTAAAATTAAGACAAACAAGTAAATTAGCAAGTTATTAATAAGCAGGATCTTTTAAAATTCCCAACACAAAGGAATGATAAGTGTTTTAGTGCTGAATATACTAATTACCCTTAATCTGATCACTATATATTATATGTATCAAAGCATCTCTCTGTATCCCATGAATAGGTACAATTATATGTAAATCAAAAAATAAAATTAAAAAATAATAAAAATTTTTAAAGATGCATATTAAACATTTTTGGTCTAACTAGGCCACATATTCCAGGAACTGGTTGGTCTGGCTTTTCTTGTCAGTGTTGATCAATCAGACCAGACACAGAATCCAAACATTCAGGGTGGACATGATCCCTCTGAGACAATATTATTTGTTCTATGTTCCTATGCTTGAGTAAAAGGAATAAGAGAGACTATGAGAAGTGGAGATGCAAAAAGTGAGGGAGAATACCACAGATGATAGAATGAAATGAGAAAAGGAAAAAGATGAAGCTAGAATATAATGAAAACCACAAAAACATGTGAACACATAGTTATCATTTAATATTTAGAAATTTGTAAAATATTAATTTAAAAAATATTTAACCTTCAGATTAATTTATATGAATTTGTAGTAGTGGAGAAAATACACTTTCTTTACAAATGCAGGAAAATTTATAAAGGGAATTATATTTAGACCCCTGGAGCCATCTAGAAGGTCATAACTTGGAACGAAACAACACGGTTAAAAAGATAATGCAGACAATGAATTATTATAGGCTAAACACAAAGTAGTGGACAGGGAAAACAGTTACTAGTATTAAAAACCAAAGAAAATGTTTCGGTGCCGAAACGTATAACATTTTGATTAAGAACATGGACTCTGGAGTCAGATTCCCCACATTTCAAATATAGGCTTTATCACTTACAAGCAGAATAATTTCATACAACTTTTGTACCTCATTTCCTCATTTGAAAAATGAACATGATAATAATGGGACCCAAACTTATAGGATTTTTAGGAGGATGTAATGTGTATTGTATATGATTGTGTATGTGACTATGTATAAGTAAATGATTTCACATAGGTGTGTGATTTTGTATGTACGTGTGATTGTACATATGTGTGTGATTGTGTATGTACATATTATTGTGTATGTGATCATGTGAATACATATATATTTGAGCACGTATATGTTTTCCTGCCCATGTTTATGAGTATGTGATTGAGTTGAAGTATGTGATTATAATTGTGAATGTGATTATGAATATATGTTTATGAGAGTATGTGCATGTGTATGTAATATACTTACATATGTGCATGTGAGGATATGAGTCTGTGTAAAGTACTCAGAATGCTTGCCACATAGTAGGTGCTCCCTGGAAGCTAATTGTAGCTAAAAAAGGTAATTGCATTGAAAGGGAGGGAAGACATGGAGGGAAAACAGGCTGAGAACATTTTAACAACAGAATGACTTTGAGTAAAATTAGCACACTTTTGTTTGTGTTCAGAGGGGTGAGGACTGGTTTGGACAATTAGCGGGGAGGAACTGATTTAAAAGCTGCTAAAATGAAAGCAAAGAGGCAGAAGGTAACACCTCAGAGGCAGGTGAATATTAGACCTAGATATAAGCAGATCATGAATCTATGAATAAGTAAGTGACTTAGATCTCACCAAAAAATGTCCTTGATATAACAAAAGATATTTCCTTTACCCCAACTTCTCTAATGAAATTTGTGGGTTTATTGAGGTTCTCTTGATTTTGCCAGTATTTTTCTATGCATCTGTATGGTCATGCTCCAAAAACAATTAGGTTACATGGACCTAGGGGGAAACTTCTGTAACTTTTTCAGCAGTGCTTTAAAATTTTGAGTTTTTTTCCCCTTTCTGATATTACATTAAAAATTTGCTAATTTTTTGATTAAAAAAATTATGGGAGTTTACTCTGTTGGCTTTTCAGGTATAAAGTTAACTTTGGACAGAATTTCTTCAATGTTTGCACTAGAAGAATTTATGTCATCAGTAAATATGCAAGTTAAATATAACAAGGGTGGCGATAACTATTTTTGTTTCTTCTATTTGCTGTGGACTTTGCATATTAAATTCTGTCTAGATTCTAGATGTAGAAGCTCATTCTGTCAACATGTAAAAATGCACCCCATTATGCCTTTATGGCACAAATTTCTTTTATCCTGTTCTAATGCAAATTAAAGAATAAATTCTCTATTCCATAGAAACTCTCTTAAAGAGTTCAAATAAATTTAATAGGCCTATTTGCAAAAACAACCACTGAGGAAGAAGTTATTGCAATGATATGCCTTATGTTGGCTAAATTTTTAGATTTCTAAGACATATTAAATTCATTGACCAATTAGCTCACATGTTAAATTCATTGACCAATTAGCTCACATGTTAAATTCATTGACCAATTAGCTTACATATTAGTCCTTCCTAGGTAGTATTAGCCTCTTAATATTTTAATGAATGACAAAGATTTGTGATTATTTAAACAGCCTCCTTTTGAAGAACACAAAATATTTCTGAAAATCCCCTAAGCTCTGTACTATTCTCATGAAATCTGGAAAATGTGAAGCATTAATATTTTCATGTTAATGAGAGGAAAGGAAATCAACTTGAAGTAGAATGACCTTACCAAAGTATGTAGTAAATTAGAGTGTATATTAGTATATAAATATAATGTGTATGTATGTGTGTATAAATGGATTAAGCATGATTCAACACATAATTAACATATTCACATTATCTGTCACGTTAATTTTTTAAGAATCTTATCATTAATATTAGGGAGTAGTAATTGAGCTTGGAATGTCAGTCTCTGAAGCCATAAAGAAATTGCTATAGAGAGCAAGAAGGTCAGACTTCCCCTGAATGGGCTTAGGATTTATCTAGGAAATGAAAAGATGTATTGGAAAATATAGCTCCCATTATGAGCTAGCATGTACTAAGTACTAAACAGGTGGTAGAGCTGATGAAGGTCACCAGAATTTAGTAGTGAGAAGTTAAAATAAACTGAAGTAATTTGTGGAAAGTCTGATTAAAACAGGTAAAAATAAGATGGTCCTCAAAGGAAAAGTAAGACCTAGAGAAGAATTGACAAATAGATTTCAACTGAAGTGACAATTCTAATTAATAGGTAGTGGCTTCCTAGAGTCATGTTAAAGACTGTGAGACTATATACGTATGACAAAATATTACCTTTATTGGCAGAAAAATGGGATTGCAGAATGAAGTTCTTGTTTGAAGTTAGCATATTACTTCTTACTAGTTCTCCCTTAAAATTTAAGGCATAAGACTTGCCCATGGAGAGATGGGGACAAAACAGATATTTATCTAACCAGTTGTGTGGAGGACCTCATCGTTCAAGATTATTTGAGTTGGGATACAGACAGAAAGAGTTGAAAAATAACATGCTCTACTGTCGTTTGAGCAGACAGGACAAGAATAGGAAGAAGAGGGCATTCCTTACAGGCAGGTGAATTCCAGAGAGAAGCAACAGTCAACATTCTTGGCCAGACATGAGGAGTGCCCTTTATCTCAAACTCACTGAGCCAGTAAGTTTTTCCACTATTTATAAGAAGGAGTAAACAGGGGCTCAGAGAAAATAACCAGAGTTTTTTTGTTTTGTTTTGTTTTGTTTTTCTTGCTATTATTCCCTCTATTATTCTCAAGCACACACACACACACACACACACACACACACACACACACACACAGAGTAATGACTGTCATCATGTTACATTTTTGCAAGTTTGTTGCATTATGACCTGGGTTCAAATGACCTACAACACTGAAAAATCTGGGGACCTTAAGCAAATCACCAAATGCCTCTGAGACTCAATTTGTTCACCTGTGCATTGGGTGCCTTGCTTTCCTTACAGAGTTTTGTGAGGTTAAAATATAACAATAATACACCTGAAACTTCACACATTTAAGTAATCTTTTATAACATATCTGCTAAACTTAAAGTGGCTAGAATAACCTTTATTATCTGATCTCTAACTAAGAAATGCCATTTCCTGTAGGAACTTAAACCCCAATCTGTATCCACCTCAGAACCATCTTCTGTGTTTGCAAAGATCACTAACAGTGGTATTTCCAAATTATCATCAACCAGTGTTGCTGTTTGCATAGCCAGTGGACTTTCTAGCAACACTTATTGATGATAATTTGATACATGATTGTTGCTGATCCTTCCCGAACATAGTAGATTAAAGAAAAATGCAAGTTTACAGAAGCCAGTTACGCTTAGCTGAGTATTAGTGTATGCAACAGTATAACAAAATTGGAGTTTGCTTTGGTAGCTATGTTCTCTTTTTTTAACTAAAGAAAAATATTTGCGTTTCATGAGTACTGATCTTAGTGGGAAGTCTTTACTGGCTATATATCATTATTTGATTGGCTTGGAGGATACAACTTATGTAAGAAGTTATGTGTTAGTGTTGGAATGGAAAATATAGCTCATTTGTGTGTTTCATAGCATACTTGCTACTATCCGTATTGGTGATATTAAAATGTCAATTTATCAACTCCGGACTGCTTTGAACCCTGAGCTGTATATTCTTTTAACAACTAGCCTGTATTCATTCCTCTATTTTTAGTAGATATTGTTTAATCTTGAAGGGTAAAAAACCATAACACAGTCATTATTCTTGAGTACAGTTTGAAAGCACATTCCTATGACAAAACTCACTCTTCCCTAAAGTATACTTTGGACACTGAAACATCGACTTGGAAACAGATTGATAATTGGCATTGTGTTGCCCTTCCAAAGAATTATTTTGTAACTAAGTATGACAATGTTGATTGTTAATGTGGTTTGCTGTGTCCCCACCAAATCTCAACTTGAATTGTATCTCCCAGGATTCCCACGTGTTGTGGTCGGAGGGACCCAGGGGGAGGTAATTTAATCATGGTATTCTCATGATAGTGAGTAAGTCTCATGAGATCTGCTGGGTTTATCATGGGTTTCCGCTTTTGCTTCTTCCTCATTTTCTCTTGCTGCCACCATTTAAGGAGTGCATTTCATCTCCCACTATGATTCTAAGGCCTCCCCAGCCATGTGGAACTGTAAGTCCAATTAAACCTCTTTTTCTTCCCAGCCTCAGGTGTGCCTTTATCAGCTGCATGAAAATGGACTAATACAGTAAATTGGTACCAGTAGAGTAGGGCATTGCTGAAAAGATACCTGAAAATGTGGAAGTAACTTTGGAACTGGGTAACAGGCAGAGACTGGAACAGATTGAAGGGCTCAGAAGAAGACAGGAAAATATGGGAAAGCTTGGAACTTCCTTGAGACTCGTTGTATGGTTTTGCCCAAAATGCTGATAGCGATATGGATGATAAAATCCAGGCTGAGGTGGTCTCAGATGGAGATGAGGAACTTGTTGGGATCTGGAGTAAAGGTGACTTTTGTTATGTTTTAGCAAAGAGACTGGTGGCATTTTGCCCCTGCCCTAGAGATTTGTGGAACTTTGAACTTGAGAGAGATGATTTAGGGTATCTGGCCAAAGAAATTTCTAAGCAGCAAAGCATTCAAGAGGCAACTTGGGTACTGTTAAAGGCATTCAGTTTTAAAAGGGAAACAGGATAAAAGTTCAAAAAATTTGCAGCGTGATGATGAAGTCAAAAAGAAAACCCCATTTTCTGGGGAGGAATTTGCATAAGTAACAAGAAACCTAACGTGAATCTCCAAGACCATGGGAAAAATGTCTCCAGGCCATGTCAGAGACCTTCATGACAGCCTCTCCCATCACAGGCCTGGAGGCCCAGGAGGAAAAAGTGATTTTGTGGGCCAGGCTCGGAGTCCCCATGCTGTGTGCAGCCTAGGGACTTGGTGACTTGTGTCACAGCCCCTCCAGCCATGGCTGAAAGGGGCCAATGTACAGCTTGGGCTGGGGCTTCAGAGGGTGGAAGCCCCAAGCTTTGGCAGCTTCCATGTGGTATTGAGTCTGTAGGTACACAGAAGTCAAGAATTGAGGTTTGGGAACCTCTGCCTAGGTTTCAGAAGATGTGTGGAAATGCCTGGTTGCCCAGGCAAAAGTTTGCTGCAGGGACAGGGCCCCCATGGAGAACCTCTGCTAGGGTAGTGCAGAAGGGAAATGTGGGGTCAGAGCTCCCACACAGAGTCCCCACTGGGGCATTGCTTAGTGGAGCTGTGAGAACAGAGCCACTGTCGTCCAGACCCCAGAATGGTAGATCCACCGACAGCTTGAACCATGCACCTGGAAAAGCCACAGGCACTCAATTCCAGCCTTTGAAAGCAGCTGGGAGGGAGGCTCTACCCTGCAAAGGCACAGGGGCTGAGCTGCCCAAGACCATGGGAACCTACCTACCTCTTGCATCAGCGTAACCTGGATGTGAGACCTGGTGTCAAAGGAGATCATTTTGGAGCTTTAAAGTTTGACTGCCCCAGCTGGGTGTGGTGGCTCACACCTGTAATCCCAGCACTTTGGGAGGCTGAGGCAGGCCGATCATGAAGTCAGGAGATCGAGACCATTCTGGCTAACACGGTGAAACCCCGTCTCTACTAAAAATACAAAAATATTAGCCAGGTGTGGTGGCAGGTGCCTGTAGTCCCAGCTACTCTGGAGGCTGAGGCAGGAGAATGGTGTGAACCTGGGAGGCGGAGCTTGCAGTGAGCCGAGATCATGCCACTGCACTCCAGCCTGGGTGACAGAGCAAGACTCCACCTCAAAATAAAAAAATGTTTGGCTCCCCCACTGGATTTCAGCCTTGCAAGGGCCCTGTAACCCCCTTTTCTGGCCAATTTATCCTATTTGGAACGGCTGTATTTATCAATACCTGTACCTGCATTGTATCTAGGAAGTAACTAGCTTGCTTTTGATTTTACAGGCTTATAGGTGGAAGGGACTTACCTTGTCTCAGATGAGACTTTGGACTGTGGACTTTTGAGTTAATGCTGAAATGAGTTAAGGCTTTGGGGGACTATTGGGAAGGCATGGTTGGCTTTGAAATGTGAGGACTTGAGATTTGGAGGGGCAGGGGTGGAATGATATGGTTTGGCTGTGTCCCTACTAAATCTCAACTTGAATTGCATCTCCCAGAATTCCCATGTGTTATGGGACGGAGGGACCCAGGAGGAGGTAATTGAATCATGGGAGCCAGTCTTTCCCATGCTATTCTCATGATAGTGAGATCTGATGGGTTGATCAGGGGTTTCCACTTTTGCTTCTCCCTCATTTTCTCTTCCCACTGCCATGTAAGAAGTGCTTTTCACCTCCTGCCATGATTCTGAGGCCTTCCTAGCTGTGTGGAACTATAAGTCCAATTAAACCTCTTTTTCTTCCCAGTCTCAGGTATGTCTTTATCAGCTGCGTGAAAACAGACAAATACAATTATGTTGTATAAACATAGCAGGCACTTAAAGTTTATCAGGGGTGTCTGTTTTTGCTTCTTCCTCATTTCTCTCTTGCTGCTGCCATGTAAGAAGTGCCTTTGCCTGCTGCCATGATTCTGAGACCTTTCTAGCCACGTGGAACTGTAAGTCCAATTAAGCATCTTTTTCTTCCTAGTCTCGGGTGTGTCTTTATCATCTGCATGAAAATGGACTAATACAATTGTGCTGTATAAACACAGCAGGCTCCTAAAGTCTGAGTTTCAGTTTGTATTAAAATATATGCCAGTAACTTGACTAATATCTTTTTAAAATAGTGGTCATATTTGATCAGCATAATAATCTGTCAAGCACCTGTATTTTAAACACAACATACACACAAACGCACACACACACAAATAAACACACACACTTGTCATTATAAAATACTATGATGTAAAAAAAGAAAAAGAAAAAGAAAGCCATAATGAATTTGAAAAATGAATTTGGTTCTCAGGCCCTCTTCTTTATGTTATCAGAATATATTAAAATAGAGATCTATTTTCTCTAACCTCTCTGGTTCCTGTTACTTCTAACTCCTTGCTTTCCAGGTCCATTTGTGACCCAATCAATATTTTAAATGGCAGTTGCTAATCTTTGGCTTTCCTTACTCCCTGGAGACTGGTGCACTGATGGCCTTAATACCTTTCCTTGCTAGCTAGAGATTAGAGGAGCAAATATACCATACGAATGAAATGTGACAAGGGACTCTATTGAGTATAGCCTTGTTCATCTGCAGAAGCCATACAACTGGTAAGAGCTGCTAGGGTCGCCACTACAGAGTGCCAGCTCTTTGCTATTCTCTTAAGACAGAATGTCAAAACTTAAATGTTGCAGCAAAGGCAAAAAGAATGAGGTGCTGGGTAAGATAATTCCATTTTCAGAGGTCACAATTACCCTGGATTCAACTCTGATTACATGTAATACTGTATATTGGTGTATTGTTACACGTATTCTTAAAAGTAATAAATGTTCTCATGGTGAATCGATTGATTGTCATTATTGTTTCTACTATTAATATTTGACAAACTTTAGTCAAAATGAGGACCTAGTTTTTATAGCTGAATAACAGTTAGGAGGAGCCAGGATCAGAATAAATTAGTCTGTGAAATTATCCTGCTGTACACAAATATTTCTAAAAAATAAATAAAATAATTTTCTTATGATTTTCTTTTTCCTGGTAGAATTTTAACTTATCCTGAGAATGTATTTACAGAACATCTGGTACAAAAAAGTAGTAGAAACAACCAAATAATCAAAAGATTAGAATTACAGAGATTAAATTTATTAGTGATATTCTCTTTTCATTTAAATATTCTTATATATTAACAGCATTCTTTACAATGCCAAGTTAGTTCTCAGGAAATTATAATTTATTTTATATTTCACTTTGCTATGCTTGAGTTCTTCTTAGAAATATTTTCTTATAATTCAATTTTTGCCATTGAATGATTGATAGTATTTAATCAACTTTGCATAAAATAACAAAATTCTTGTTGCAGTTACATTATTGTCACTGGAACTTATTACTGGAACTTATAAAAAGATATGAAATCTTAATTAAACCTTTGTAAGAGATAGATAAAAACTAGTGTTTTTTTTTTCTGTTCTCATACACCTCACAATGTAACACTTCTGACCACAGATGTATGTCAAACAGTTCAGTGGACACCAATACATTGTCCTATAATTTAACTCGATTCTGACACTATCTACTGAGAGATAGCGTCAGATTCCACAGGTTGAGGGCTCAGTTCCACAAGACTGCAATCACATCAGATGCCAGTTGCAAGCCCCCAGGTTGTAACTTGGGTTTCTGACCAACTGGCTAGAAATCAGTGTTCCTACAGTCCCCTCCTTAAGTTCAATTAATTTGCTAGAGCAGCTCACAGAACTTAGAGAAACACTTTACTTACACTTACCCATTTATTATAAAGGATATTAGAAAGGAAACATACAGAAGCCAGATGAAAAGATATATAGGTGGAGGTCTGGAAGGGAAGGGGTATGAAGCTTCATTACAAAGGCATGATCTGATTACATCACTGGCCATTGAGGAACAACTGGACCTTTAGCTACCGGTGGATGGGGCATGGAGCTGAGAGTTCCAATCCTCTAATCACATGGTTGGTTCCCCTGGCAACCAGCCCCCATCCTGAAGCTATCCAGGAGCCTGCCACAATAATTGCCTCATTAGAACAAAGATGTTCTTATTACCCAGCAAGTTCCAAGGGATTTAGGAGTCTATGTCAGATACTTCTATCACTCAGGAAACTACAAAGGTATTAGGAGTTCTGTATTAAGAACTGGGTCAAAGATCAAATATTGAAAAAAAGATTCTCCTAGCACCCTTATCTACAAGGGTTTTATGAGATCTAGGTTAGAAGTCAGGGCAGAAGCCAAATATGTATTTCTTATTATATCAAAATATCACAGCTTTACATATTAAAGCTACTAAAATGGATTATTTAACTTTTAGTGTCAATTTACTTAAAAATTAATTTCAGAGATATATCACATTTTAATTCTGGGTAACAAATTTCTAAGACTGCTTAGAATAAGTTTTATTTCAAAATTCACATAGTGAAGTTGATCCACATAGATTCACATGAATCTACATTTTACTGAAAGGTCTCTGGACTCTTACTAATATAAAATAAGATACTCAAGACATCACCAGCACAGGAATATTTGAGGCTGGTTAGCCTCAAATAGAAATTGAGAATGTTGTTCACTTACTTTTATGTTAAGAGAGTATGACGTCATTTCAGGACTAGGTAGATAGAGGCCAGAGAAGGAAGAAAAAAAAAGCTGATTCAGGCTAAACAGGAAAATCTTAAATAATAAGGCAATAGCTCCAAAGCAGTGACCAGGAAATTACTTTTTGAGTAAGATGCTCCAGGGCAAAAGTCTTTTCTTAACAAATATTGTTTAAGACAGTGAAATCTGTTTGCTATCATTTCTTTCCTCCCAGGTGATTAAATGCAAAAGAGAAACAGTCATTTGATAGCCACAGAAGCTATTTACTGAAAGTATATTCAATCACTATAAACATTATTTTTACAGCAAGACTAGCAAAAGATACTATGGGGGATCCCATAAAACATTTTTAAAAAGAAAAAAGTGATGGTACCATATATTTTTATGAGGGTTTCAGAGTGATCTGTATGCAGCTGTTTCCCCAAAGTACTGCCTGACATTGCAAGCTCTGGTTTGGAAGCCAACCGGCATAAAACTCAGTTCCCAAATGGCAGAGATTTCATAGGCCAAAAAATTGGTTCAGGGTTTGTTCTGTTGTGCTACTAAGGATGATTCTAGGTAATCTATTGTAATATAAACACTGAATAAATATAAAGCATTTTACTGGCTATATGGTTTAAAGAAAGAAACAAACAAAAATCTTCATAATATGTCCCCCAAATTGCAATTTTTTTTTCCCATTGCCTCCTTTTGAAGGTTTGACCTAAGTAATTCTGAAGGAAAAGATGAATAAATTCAATTCTCTTGGGTTTACAAGTAGATCCAAACTTTCAAGGTATATCTGGCCACATCCTAGCTGGTAGCATCCAGGAGAAGTGTGGTGAGCCACAAAAGGAGAGCTGTCAGTGGACATACTAAGACAAAACAGCTACTATAATCCCTGGTGGGGGCAATGAACTGCATTCACTTATGTGGAGCTGGGATCCTCTACTGAGGCTGAGTTAAGTGACCATTAGGTAGTGATCCAGCTCCCTAATGCTGGATCAATACTCCTTACATTTTCCTTTGGCTCTAAGATATCTCCCCTGTGTTCTTTTGTCCTAGCTCTCTCTTCCTGATATCCCTTCATCTTTCTCCTGTCTTTTCCCAATTCAGTGGCAACAGAACCTCTTTAAACCTTCAAACTTTCCCTCAAGGTTATAGACTTTCTAAGCACAAAGACAGGCAGAGACTCAAGATTTTTCTTTATTCTGTCCTACCATATAACCTCCTTAAGGCAATAAGTAAAAAACTGTCTATCTCAGTTTTTTTTTCAACACTGGCTGCACAAAATAAATATCTGAGGGAGTTTCTGAAGTATACCACAGTGTGGGCCCTACCCCAGAGGTACACTGTAAGCAAGAGTATTTTTTAAAAGCCCTGTAGTGCAGCCAGGTTTGAGAATATTTAGTTCACTATTTGAATGAAGGAAGGTAAAGATAAGAAAGGGAATGAAGAAGTAATGGTGAGGACTCAATATTAAAAAAGTTATTTTGTATATACTTGTTTTAAACTATTAAGTGTATTTATATAGTTGTTTTAAAAGATCAAACACACCTTCAAAAGGAAGTTTGTCACCACTCAAGGTATTCAAAAAAAAAGGTTACAAACTTAGAAGATATTTTCAGAGTATTTTGAGCCCTAGCACAATGGCTGGAATGTATATGGCTTCTACCAATACAACTATGTTGAAGGGGTACTATACAGCTGTAACCCACAATTCTTATTTGTTAAAAAACTATGTAATCCTATTAATTTTAATCCCTGTATAGTTAGTTACTAAGCTTTGTTTTAAAAATCCCAGTGGCATTTATTATGTTTTAAAAATCCCAGTGGCATTTATTATGTTTTAAAAATCCCAGTGGCAAAAACTTAAAATCGATGACAAGTCCGTATTTTTGTAAAAAGGAAAAATGGCAATTTTCTTATCCACACTCTCAGGTTCATTGCACTGTAACTTGTCATGGAAGCCTAATCCCGAGACATTTATCTGAAATACCCAAAGCTTTGCACATTTTCTGATATATAATCTGACTGTCTTAGTAGGTGACATTTCCCATGCTTTGGATATGGGCCCAATGTTTCTCTACTCTGCTGTCTGCTATTATATTTTTCTATCTTTTCCAGTTTCAATTTCACTATTATTTAGACAGCATTCAACTCTGTTCCAGCCATTTTATTTTCCTAAATTAGAGTTTTTCATTTTCAAATAATTGCTGAATATTCTTGATGCCATATGAGGGTTGTCATCTCTGATTCCTTTTCATATGTGAAGGTTAGGAAAATATATATTGGATTTTAACGGCTCCTTCCTCCTGTCTTTAATTTTTTAATCAATAAAAAAATGTGAGAGATAGATCACAATCCTGAAAAATATAACCAGGACAATATATTACCTTCATTATATCAAAGGAGATATAATATAGTCCTCAGCTATATTCCAAAAATTCATAATAGAATTATATTGTAAATATTATTTTAATATACTTAGAGTATATGATATGGTTCGGCTGTGTCCCCACCCAAATCTTACCTTGAATTGTTCCCATAATCCCCATGTGTCGTGGGAGAAACCTGGTGGGAGGTAATTGAATCATGGGAGCAGTTACCCTCATGGTGTTCTCATGATAGTGAGTTCTTGTGAGATATGATGTTTTATAAGATCTGATGAGCTTTCCCCTCTTTTGCTTGGCACTTCTCCTTGCTGCTGCCATGTGAAGAAGGATATGTTTGCTTCCCTTTCCACCATGATTGTAAGTTTACTGAGGCCTCCTCAGCCATGCTGAACTGTCAGTCAATTAAACCTCTTTCCTATATAAATTACTCTGTCTCAGGTATGTCTTTTTTAGCAGTGTGAGAACAAACTAATAGAGTATATTTATAGTAAAAATAAACACAATTAAGTATTAAAAATCATGCATTTAAAAGGAGCATTAACCATTTTAAAATAAACATTATAAATATCCTTTATAATTTTAATAGTATGTTTTTCTCTTGAGAATGTGCTGGGCTATTAGAAAATAACTGATACTAGACATAGTACTTTAATCTCTCAATTTCATAGAGAGTTAAATTTAAGAAAGAACATTAAATGTAATCTCTAGGGTACTGAACTGAGAAAAGTTTTTTTTCAAAGTATCTTGATTATTTTTCATATAGAATATCACTCCTTTCTCTCCCTGACCTCAAAGCCTAGCTGCTGATACAGGGGGAAAAATATTTAGATAAGTTTCTATGTTTTTATTTATACTCAAATGCATATAATTAAAACAATTTAATAGAGACTATAAACTTATACTGAAAGTTTGTGTATGCAACTAGAGATGTAAGATAATTACATCTCTAGTTGCTAATACACTGAATAGCTTTTAAATGATAATAATAACAAAGATAAAACTTACTCTTAGGAACTTAAGACCTTGATATTGCAGAGATCTTCAAGGTAAGCTCCAATTTTTTGAAGGGCAAGCCATCATATAAAAGCATGCTAGTATAAATGAAAAGTTAAGATGGGTTTATTTTTATAAACAAATTCACTTTTCATGTTTTATTTATCTTGAAAAAAGCCACAACATATTTCCAGAACTATTATGACCAGAGGCTGTTTTTGGAGGTACAGTGTGCACATAGCCAGCGTGCAAAGCTAGGCTGGTATGCCTGCTATTTCGTCCTTTGTATGAAGATTTTTTTTTTTAGGTGGTTGAACCATTTTGATTTGATAAGCACTGACCTGCACAGTGAGGATGTAACCTTCATTGCCTACCCTGGCATGTTTTTTTAAACAGCTAGGTAAACAAGATTCTTAATTGTGACATTTCCTATGAGCATGTGGTTTTGTTTTCAGCACAGAAGTATACATTCAGAGGATATTCTGAGAATTCTTGGCAATAATCTGAAATGACTTCAACAACTTGAACAAATTGTTCTTCTCCATTTGCTCAAATAATTATGTGTCCTTTTGGCTTATCTGTGAGAGTCCTGTTTACCTTTGATGTTGCTGGAATATTTCTCTGATCACGTGGTCAGAGTCTTTAACTTGTGTCTCAATTTTGTTACAAGTAGAAGCTTATTAATATCTAACCCTGTAGGCATTGCGGAAATATTTCAAAGACTCTTTAGCCAGCAGAAGTATGAGATATTTTCACTTCCTCAAAGTAATAACAATAATAGTTATCAATATTACTATAAAATAGAGAAAATGTTTTGGAGCCAGAGATTGTAGAACCTGATCTACATTAAACTTCTGGAAGATTGACTCTAGTTGGCCCACTGGAGAGTCTTTGTTAGGCAGTAGGTGCAGATGTGTGCTTCCTTTAATGAGCTATAAGCAGGACCCATGTGAATGCATGAACATTACCTCTGAAAGAATTAAAGAGGGCATCCAAGGTAGACCCCAAAATACATTCTCAGGGAAACTGGAATTTAAAAAAGTATGAAAAAGCTTGGAATCTGTGTTAAAAGAATACGAATTATATATAACTATAAGAACAAACATTACTGGTAAGTAAACAGAAATAATTTCAACATCAAGAATGCCTCAGTTAGGTGTTACATTCAATTTACACAAGAACAGACACTTATACTAGAAACATATGTTGTTAAAATAATTCCCATAGTCATTCTGGGGGAAGTAATCTAATAGAACTCTTTATGTGCAGATGAGAAGATGTAAAACCATAGTGGTTAGGTAATTTTTTTTAAAGTCTGGAGGAACCATTGCTTAAGCTTCCTGCTCTACAAATCAGCTTAGACCATTTCACAAAGCCACTCTACCATTCTAATCATTTTCTTATATACTTAAAAGAAATTGTATTTCCCATTTTCTTTTGAAGTATTTTATTAACAAATGCAAAGTGTTTGATAATGGAATATCTATTAATTAGGCTAACATATTGAATTCTCATTTTGCTAAGAGAATATTTTCTTAAAGAGTTTTTATTCCCTCTTCTTTTACTTCCCTTTTTGAGGTTTTTCTAAGAATGAACATTTAAGTAGTGCTCTCAACATTATACACTCCTGAAAAAAGACATTTGCAGCCGGGCGTGGTGGCTCACGCCTGTAATCCTAGCACTTTATGAGGCCAAGGCGGACAGATCACTTGAGGTCAGGAGTTCAAAACCAGCCCGGCCAACATGGTGAAACCCCGTCTATACTAAAAATTCAAAAAATTAGCCGGGCATGATGGTGCACGTCTGTAATCTCAGCTACTTGGGAGGCTGAGGCAGGAGAATCGCTTGAACCTGGGAGGCAGAGGTTGCAGTGAGCCAAGATCATGCCACTGCACTCCAGCCCGGGCAACAGAGTCAGACCCTGTTAAAAAAAAAAAATTTGCTGTGATCAATGTCCTGCGGAAGTGCAGTGAAATAAAGGCTGCTCTAAAGATTTTAAGGCTTGCTTTTTTATTTCTTGTTATCAGTATTTGGTCTTTCTGAGAACAATGTCTGTAGTATAAGCTTCTTAGGGTTGCTGTAACGAAGTGTCACAAACAGGGTGGCTTAAACTACAAAAATGTATTCTTGCACAGTTCTGGAAGCTAGAAGTCTGAAATCAAGATGTCAACCGCGTTGGTTCCTTCAGAGGGCTGTGAGTTTCATCACTCTCTCCAAGCTTCTGGTAGCCTCAGGGGTTCCTTGGCTTCCAGTGTCTTCACAGCATCCTCTCTGTATGTCTGTCTTTGTGTCCAAAATTCCCCTTTCATAAGGATATAGTCACATTAGATAAGGGCCAACTGTAATGACTTCATTATAACTTGATCATCTTCAAAGATCCTACTTCCAAATAAGGTCACATTTGTAGCACTTTGGGGATTAGGGCTTAAACATCCTTTTTTTTGTCTTTTGAGAGAACACAATTCAATCTATAACAATGTCATATCCAGGGTTAATGAACATATAATAGCCATTTATATTCTGATGTTTGTAGACCATTTCATTTGATCATTTCCATTAGTTTTTAAACATAACCCAATGACTAACAAAAATATCTTCTCTCATTTCAATATCCCACCTAAAGATATTTCTATTTTTATCACCTTACAATTGCACTTCTTAAAAAAAAAAAAAAAAAAAGCAACTATTCTATGTTTGTGGTCTCTATTCTCTCTCATATCCCACATTCACTTTTCTTTTTTCTTTTCTTTTCTTTTTTTTTTTTTTTGGCAAAAACTTTTTTTTGTTTGTTTGTTTGAGATGGAGTTTTGCTCTTATTGCCCAGGCTGGAGTGCACGTGGCACAATCTCAGCTCACTGCAACCTCCACCTCTCGGGTTCAAACCGTTCTCCTGCCTCAGCCTCCTAAGTAGCTGGGATTACAGGCACACGCCACCACACCCAACTAATTTTGTATTTTTAGTAGAGACAGGGTTTCACCATGTTGGCCAGGATGGTCTTGAACTCCTGACCTTGTGATCCACCTGCTTCAGCCTCCCAAAGTGCTGGGATTATAGGCGTGAGCCACTGCGCCTGGCCTCACATTCACTTTTCAGCCCACTGTAGTATGTTTTTACATTACATCACTCTGACAAAACAGCTCTTAATAAGGTTAACAATGATCTCCATTTTGCTAAATTCAAGATTTTTCCTGTCCTCAATTTGCTTATCTCTTCAGGATCATTGTTCAAAGAAGCAATCTACAAGGGGCCTTAAGCATCCCTGTATGTTCTTCCTGGGCATGCTGTGAAAGCAAAGCCCTTGCTATACTTTACTTGGGCCATTTCTCTGGGTTGTATTTCCAGCAAGCAACCCTGAGAAATAAGGTAGCATTTTCCAAAAGAAAAACCACATACTTGTTTCCACTTTACCATATAAGTGGTGAATCTTCCAAACTTCCTAAGTTTCCCTCCAGTAATGCAACCCACTGCATGTGCAGGCATCCATTATGGGCACTTTGTGTTATTCCATGGACCTGGAGGATGGGGGAACCCATGCAAGCATCATGTTGCCCTCTGAACTACTGTTTGTGCTATGAATAATGCAGTCCTTTGTCTCTGAACCAAGAGTCATGTGTTTTCTGACAGCTTTGCTAAAATAGTAACAGACTAACTTATTAGCTTGCAGATGGTGAAAACTCACAGAATCTTTGTAGTTCCTGATAATTATTTGATATTATTTGGCATTCTTGAAATGCCACCTCTCTGACCATGCCGTTTTGGTTTCTCTTGCAAGCAGTTCCTTTTCTACTGGGTCACCAAATCCTGTAGATTTTTGAAGCCTTAAAATAACTTTTTCTGTTATAGTCTCTCACTGAGAGACTTAAACACATCCACAGTTCTAATTACTGTGGTGGTGTTCAGATTTATTTCTCTAGCCCAGAGCTCTTCTCTGGGCTAGTTGATCCAACTACTGATTTGACCTATCACTTGCATATTTTCAAGATATCATTAATTCATGACATACATGACCATATTTGTGGTCTTCCTCTTCTATCCTTGTCCTCTTTCATTATTCCGTCTCATAGTAAACAAAATCTTCATTTATTCATTTGCTCAGGTACTCTCCTACTGTATCCCTAACTCTGCCTATCTAATCCATCACCAAGGCCAATTAATTACCTTTATCATCTCAATATCCATGGAATCAGTTTTTCTTTTTATTGTTACCTTCACTCGGTCCTTACCTACTATTAGTGGACCTCCTAACAAGTTCCTCTACTTTCATTCTGCTCTTGCTCCTATCCATTCTTCAACTGAAGCCAGAATGAGTGATCACTTTAAATCTTACGTTGTTCAGTCAGGAGGAATAAGTTCAAGAGATCCACTGGACAATATGATGACTACAGTTAATAACAATATATTGCATATTTGAAAATTGCTAAGAGAGTAGATTTTACGTGTTCTCACCACAAAAAATGATAAATATGTGAGGTAATGCATATGTTAATTAGCTCGATTTAGTCATTCCACAACATATACATTTTTCAAAAGTCATGGTGTACACCACAAACATCATATACAATTTTTTTTTGCCAATTAAAAAATAAATTTAAAAACTCACATTGAATCATGTTACTCCCTCACCCCTCCATCCCTGTTTAAAACCTTCATTGCACTTAAGGTAATATAATCAGTTGACTGGTATTCATTCTTTTTATTGCAGCCCATTTAAAGCCTTCAGTGACTTCCCAGTCAGATTTGGATCCATTATTATACGGTCAGATATAACCTTGTTTTCTTCCTTTGAGGACTTTTCATTATTATTTTATTGGCATGATTATTAAATTAATGTCTATTTCCCTTCTCAGACAGTAAGTTCTATGCGAGTAAAGACCACTGTTTGAGTTAGCTCACATTGTAACTAGTAGTGCTTGTCTCAGAATTGGCACTCATATATTTCAGACTAAACAAAAGAGAATGAACACTTCAGAGAAATAGCCACTCATTTTTTCTTATTTTTTTGGTTGTACTTTAGCTAACAATTGGTACAGTAGCCAAGACAGTATTTTAAAATTATAAATCAAACCATGTTACGCCCTTACTTAAAACCCTCCGTGACTTCCCATCACACTTAGAATGAATCCAGATTCCTTACCTTGACTGTAAAGTCTTACATGATTTACTCCCTGGTTAACCCATGGCATTTCCTTTAGCACTCTTCCTTTCACCCACTTCCATAAAGGCACACTGGGCATTCCTCCCTCATTAGCACACAGAAGCCCATGTGCCAACTGCTCCCCTTAATCTTTCATTGATTTATTTTGCCACTTGGTCTCAACTTAAATATCAACTAAAATTTATCTGTCAATCAAATCTTAGGCAGTGGTTCATTCTTTCCTCAGTACTTTTCACAATTTAGTACCTTTTCCTATCTGCTCGTCTATTTATTTACCATCCAAGTTCTATCACCTCTATACACACGAAAACACAGCCCTAACCACTTTCTTGTTCATTGCTGTATCCCCAGAACTTATAAGAGTACCAAGTACATTGTAGTAACTCAGTGCTTAATTGCTGAATAAAAAATATATATTAAATTCATGGATCAGGTAGTTTCCACCAGTGCCTTTGGTTTAGGAAATAAAAACAGCTTCTTATATGACCAAATGTAAAAGTAATATGATTTCCATCATGGCTCATAACAATTTTTATAATTTGGAGTTTGTCTTCAAATCAGCAGAGAATCAGTACGCTTGACTTTTCTGTTTACTTCATCACTGATTTACCTGGGGAAACAGCTGCCTATAGCCCCTTAGCAAAGTAAAATTAAGCAAAGATTTAAACTAATGTGACAGAATCTTTGGATATCCAATTTGGGGTTAGTGCAAATCCAGAGGAGGCAAAAGATCACCTAACACTCCTCCAGTCTTCAAATGTACCATCCTGTACTCTCTCCGTGTTTGGATTTGAAAGCAACAGCCTGCACAACCAAAGACACTTTATCATCTTGTGAAAAGTAGAACTTAAATATTTCAGCCTCTTTACCTTTGAAATATGGATGATTTCTTTTTCCTTTTTTTTCTAGTTCTATAAAGGTACTACCTTGAGCACTCATACACAGCCCATTTACCTCTGCTTTATTTATTATTTTTATTTATTTATGTATTTATTTTTGGTTTTAAGGAGTGGAGAGTTTAATAAGCAAGAAAGAAGGAAGGAAGAAGAAAATAGCTCCCCTGTACAGAGACAGAGGGAGGGTGAATTTGAACAGACAGAAAACCCCCTGTGTGTGGTGGAAAGGTGGCTGCTTATATAAGGAGGCTGGAGGAGGTGGTGTCTGATTTGTATAGGGCTCAGGGGATTGCTTTGTCCATGCATGTCATTCATGTGAAACACCTGGCCCTGCCACCCTAGACTTTTAACATGCAAATGCAGGGTGCCATGATATTCTACAGACATTGTGGATATGTGAGAGCGGTTATGTTGCCAGGCACATGTCGGGGCAAGGAAGAAGAAGGCAGGAATTGCCACGTTTGGGTGGACCCAGTTTCCAATGGCCTGCATTTGCATATCAAAGCTTGCTGGCCCTGCTCTAAGAGCTGCTTTAAAAGAAACAAAAACTTCCCAAGGGCCCCTTTCCTCTCTACCTGTCTAAAATAATTTCTTAATAACTCCTATAATATTCGCACCTATGGAGATGTCGCCCTAACTGCTGTTAGTGGGTTTTGGGAGATGACTCTTTTTGGCCACTTCCTGCTGAAAAAGGGGGTCGAATGGGGAACAGCAGCTAGGGTTCCTCCTAGGGTGCTTGGAAAAATGGCGTGTCCATATGTGGTTCAGTCTGAGGCACCATTTGGAGTTTGATTGCTTCTAGGTGAGAGGAAACAATTCGAGTTATAGGATTGAGTATACAGGGTCCAAATATTAATATAAGACATAAACCCTCTGTCCAATATTTCAGTTAGAAGGTGCTACCATGTATAACCCTGCTGCAAATAGTAGAATGAGTATAGCAATTCCCACAAGTGTGGTGTAGCAGATAATTTCCATCTAAAATTTTACTTGCCAAGATATAGAATTTCCCTTTAGTGGTTTATGAAGTTCCTTGGTTTTATTTCCAAAACAAAGAAACCTCCAGGTTATGGGCACCCTAGTCACTTTCATTACCTGGCAGAACTTGCAGGATAATTGCCCAGAACCAGCATATTGATCCAGATTTTTACGTTACCCATCCCTTTTTCTTTCTTCTGCTTTAAATTGCACTGGTATCACAGTGATGAATTAAAGCTTGAAATCTCTAAGACTCTTAAACACAAACCAAAGAAATGTTTGGAAAGACGTTGGAAAAAGTACTTTGCCCTTATTTAATACTTTCAATAACACCAGAATAATAAAATGCCTCTCAAATACAGCTCAGCACTCCACTTTTTTACTTACTTTTGTGAGATAAAATTAGGTATATATTCTACACTGCTGACAACCTTCCTGAGATATGTTTTGATCTTCCGGGTTAGTCTTATACACAACATTTGAAATTATTACTGTGAATCTGGTGTTAGTGCTCTCCTTTATTTTGACATTGGCAATCTGTTACCTCAAGGGTTTGATATCTTAGTTCCCCATTTCTATCCTTTCTCAAAAGCGTGCCACACTTGGCGAGGCACAGTGGCTCAAGCCTGTAATCCCAGCACTTTGGGAGGCTGAAGCAGGTGGATCACAAGGTCAGGAGTTCGAGACCATCCTGGCCAACATGGTGAAGCCCTGTCTGTACTAAAAATACAAAAAATAGCTGGGCATGGTGGCGCATGGCAGAGCGAGACTCCATCTCAAAAGAAAAAAAAGAAAGTGTGCCACACTCTGTAGCTTTCTCTTCCTTTCCCTCTTCCTCTGCTCCCCAACAATGCCGCATTTAGCATTTAATCTTATTAGCAAATTTAAGTTAGAGAAAACTAACTGGTTAATGTGTCACTTTTTTAGAAAATGATTTTCTCTTAAAAGCAGAGGCTATCTCTTCACTGAAGACTATAGTGTTAATTATCTTCCTGTTTAAGGCTTTACAGTTTGTTTTTTCAAAATCAAGTAAGAAAAAAGTTTAGCTTGAATTCACATAGATATATTAAGAATAGTAAGTTAAACAATCACAGACTCTTGTGGAAAGGAAGACTATTATTTGAGAAATGTATTTAATAGAAGTTCTAACAATTTTTTAAATGGACAGCTTCCAAAAAGGCGTGAAGTACCTCATGATGACACATTAGCAGTATTGTCACTTCAGATATGGGTAGTGTGATCAAAGACACGATGGTAAGGTGGTAAAGGAAATCAAACCCAAGTTTCTTCTTTTGAATATTAATGGGCCAAAAAGAAAATAAATAAAAGCAGTACCAATTATAGGATACAATTGTGAACATCAGTTGTGGACTGCTCTCATGGGCAGCTGTCAGAGCCTAGTTTCATGAGCCACAGTGAGGTGCTTTTCCAGGAACCATACTCCACATTGTGCTTATTGTGCAGTAGCTGATATTTTGTATTCCAGAAAAGAAAGGTCCTTTGGAAAATCTTGTTCACTGGAGGGCAGAAGCAGAAGTACTTTTCTTAAAACCATTTATTATTCTTTAACAAGAATTAAAGCATTCACTCTTCCATGCCCCTCCTCTTTAATTTTCTACTATAACTCAAGCATAAGTGGGCATGAAGCGATTGTATAGTAAAATCTTCATGAGTCAATAAGCTGCCTAGATAAATTAAGCGAGATACTATTTGTTCAGTGCAGCTCATTCTGTTTGTCAGTAGTAGGTGTTTTATAAATGACAGCAATTACCTAAATATAGTATTATTAATGATAATATTATATCCTGCATCTATAGATTGGGCAATAATATACCATTTTTAATTTTTAGACAGAATCATTAACCACATTTTTGTTAAACAAATGAATGGTCTTCCAGTCAGCACTCAGTCTACAATATACAGTTTTTCACTTAAAGCCACGGAATTTAGTAAGACATGGACTTTTGGTAGGTAATAGCAGAATCACTTTGCATTGGTAAAGAGCATGATGAATAGAGGTGCCTGCTGATTTCAAATAATATTGATTAGAGGTAAACAGGTGGTGTTTAGCATATATTGGCTAACAAGTATATACTAAGCATTTTATACACACACATATAGATATAATTATTGATACAGATAAATAAATATGTAGATATATAAGCCCATTCAATAGGTATATTATCTGTAACTCTGTATCTATATATCTCCCTCTAATCTTTATAATGATTCTCCATGATAATTTTTCTCACTTTATATATAAGAAAATTGAGTATAAATTGTTATAAAATTGAGCTTTAGAACTTCAATGAGTTCTAAACTTCTAAAGCTGTATATAGTTCTATATTATTTTAAGTTTCTCTGGTTCCAAACCTGTGCACTACTTTAAGAAAGAAATCAGAAGATAATATAGGACAGAATACTGGAAGAGAAAGTGAGGACGCATGGTAGGGCCTGGTGTGATAGCTTTTGGTATCAGATGTTCATAAGTTTGATAATACATAGTTCCATTAGGTATGGCCTGGGATATCTTGGTCAAGAAAATTAATCATCATAAGCTTTGGATCCCTTATTTTTGATATGGGGTTAATGATACTTTTTAACAGAGTGTTGTGAGGGTTTTATGAGATACAGTGTATAAATTACTTAGTAATGTGTAGTAGGCATTTGGTGAATAAAAGGAAAAGATCTCAAAAATAGTATGTAGTTTCAGTGTATCTAATGATATAATTGTTGATTGATGAATTTCATGTAGATTGTGCCATAATGAGCCAATGATAAAAAAAACTATGTTGGCATGTTTATAATGTTACAAAAAGAGTTTCTTATTACTAGTAAAAATTATTAAAGCTAATGGATTCTCCAGGCATTTCTCATCACCCTTGTGCTGTCCAGTACTTTTTATAATTTATTGCCTGAAAAAATCTTATCCTTGATTACCTTGCCAAATAATATAGACTCAAGACACAGCATTACTCTCAGCCTATAGATTACTCTTCATAGGTGTTTATGGGAAAAATCATTTGAAATTGGATTAAAAATATATTTGTTTTATAAAAATATATAATATTTGTGTTATTGTAGTTTTAAATCAAGTGATGTGGAAAACAAGGGAGACTATTTTCTATATGGAGATATTAGCATATAGCACAATGCTATTTCAAATAACTGTCATCCCAACCTCCAACTCTTTTGAATATTTCTTACTTTGTATTAGAAAATTTGTAGGGCTTTCTTAGTAACTTATCTTAGGTTATGAAAAGGCAGAAGTGTCTCAGTTTATAGTCTTCATACTTCCTGCCACATGACATCTTCTCTTCCATTATCAGAACAGTTATTACAAATAATTCTACAAAGGGAACCCCATCAGGCTAAAGCAGAGTTCTCAGCAGAAACGCTACAAGCCAGAAGAGATTGGAAGCCTATTTTCAGCATTCTTAAAGAAAAGAAATTCCAATCAAGAATTTCAAATCCTGCCAAACTAAGGTTCATAAGTGAAGAAGAAGTAAAATATTTTTCAGACAAGCAAGCACTAAGAGAATTTGTTACTACTTGACCAGCCTCACAAGAGATCTTTAGGGGATTTGTAAACATGGAACTGAAAGAACGATACCTGCTACCACAAAACAAAACAAAAAAAAAACACTGAAGTACATATCCCACAGATCCTGTAAAGCAAACACATAATAAAGACGAAACAGCAACTAGCTAATGACTTCACAGTAGGGTCAAGATCTCACACACCAATATCAACTTTGAAAGTAAATGGTTTAAACGCCTCATGTAAAAGGTCCAGAGTTGCAAGTTGAATTTTAAAAAAAGACCCATCTATCTGCTATCTTCAAGAGACCCATCTCATAAGTAATAACACTCATATGCTCAAAGGAAAGGCTGGGAGAAAGAGCCATGACACAAATGGAAAACATAAAGAGCAGAAGTCATTATTCTTATATCAGAAAACATTTTAAACCAACAATGGCTAAAAAAAAAAAAAAGGACAAAGCGGGCATTACATAATGACAGAAGTTTCAGTTCAACAAATAGACTTAACTGTCATAAACATATACTCATCCAACATTGAAGCACTCAGATTCATAAAACAGCTACTTCTAGACCTAAAAAAAGACTTTGACAGTCATGCAATAGTGGTGGAGAACTTCAACACCACACTTACAGTGTAGATAGATCATTGAGGCAGAAAACTAACAAATAAATTCTGGACTTAAATTTGACACTTACCAATTAAACCTAATTGACATGTACAGAACATGCCACTCATTAACCACAGAATATAATTCTCATTTCAACACAAAGCATAATCCAAGATTGACCACAGACTCAGCCATAAAGCAAGTCTTAATAAATTAAAAAAAATTGAAATTATACCAACCATACTTTTAGACCACAGTGGAATGAAAATAGGAATCAATACCAAGAACATCTTCCCAAACTACACAATTACATGAAAATTAAACAATTTGCTACTGAATGACTTACAGGTAAACAACAAAATTAAAGCTAAAATAAAAAATTCTTTGAAATAACTGAAAATAGAGATACAACATACCAAAATATCTGGGATGCAGCAAAAGCAGAGTTAAGAGTAAAGTTTATAGTACAAATGCCTACCAGAAAAAGAAAGATCTCAAATTAATTATCTAACATTACACCTAGAGGAACTAAAAAGATATGAACAAACTAACCCCAAAGCTAGCAGGAGAAATAACTAAAATCAGATTGGAACTGAACAAAACTGAGACCCAAAAATCCATACAAAAAATTAATGAACCCAAAAGCCAGTTCTTGACAGAATAAACAAGACCCAAAAGCCAGTTCTTGACAGAATAAACAAGATCAATAAACTGCTAGCTAGATTAACAAAGAAAAGAGACAAGATACAAATAAGCACAATTAGAAACAACAAATGTGACATTACAACAGATCCCACAGAAAAATAAAATATCCTCAGAAACTATTATGAACACCTATATGGACATAAATTAGAAAATCTACAGGAAACAAATAAATTCCTAGAAACACACAATCTCCCAAAATTGAATCAAGAAGAAATTGAAACCTTTAACCGACCAACATTGAGCCCTAAAATTGAATAAGTAAAGAACAAAACCTACTAACCAGAAAAAAGCCCAGTACTAGATGGGTTTGCAGTTGAATTTTACCAGATGTACAAAGAGGAGCTGGTGTCAATTCTACTGAAGGTATTTCAAAAAAAATTGAGGAAGGACTCCTCCCTAACTGACTCTATGAAGCAAGCATCACCCTGATGCCAAAACCTGGCAAAGACACATGAAAATATAAAATTACAGGTCAATATCCCTAATGAAGATAAATTCAAAAATCCTCAACAAAATACTAGCAAACTGAATCCAGCAGCACATGAAAAAGTTAATTCGCCATGATCAAGTAGGCTTTATTTCTGGGATGCAAGGTTGGTTCAACATATAAGAGTCTTCTATGACAAACCCACAGCCATCATCATACAGAACAGACAAAAGCTGGAAATATTCCCCTTGAGAACAGGAACAAGGCAAGGATGCCCACTGTCACCACTCTTATTCAACATAGCACTAGAAGTCCTTGCCAGAGCAATTAGACAAGGGGAAGAAATAAAATGCATTCAAGTAGGAAAAGAAGAAGTCAAACTATCTCTCTTCACTGATAATATAATTTCATACCTAGAAAACCCTAAAGACTCTGCCAAAAGGTTACTGGGACTGATAAGCTACCTCAATAAAATTTCAGGATACAAAATCAATGTACAAAAATCAGTAGCTTCTTAGCTTGATGGGCGGTAAAAAATCAGTAGTAATTCTATATACCAATAATGTTCAAGCTGAAAGTCAATAAAGAATGAAATCCCATTTACAATAGCCACAAAAAAGATGCAAAATACCTAAGAATACATCTAACCAAGGAGGTAAAATATATCTGTGAAGAGAACTACAAAACACTGATGAAAGAAATTGTAGATGACACAAACAAATGCAAAATCATTCCACGCTCATGGATTGGAAGAATCAGTATCATTTTAAAAAATGGCCATATTGCTCAAAGAAATCTACATATTCAACATTATTCATATCACACTATGTCATTTTTCACAGAATTAGATAAAAAATTATTCTAAAATTTATATGTAACCAAATAAGAGAACGAATAGCCCTAAACAAAAAGAACAAAGCTGGTGGCATCACATTACCAAACATTATTCTATAAGCCTACAGTAACAAAAACACCATTGTCCTGGTACAAAAACAGAAACATAGATCAATGGAATAGAATACAGAACCCGGAAATAAAGCCACTCACCCACACCTATCTGTTCTTTGACAAAGTTGACAAAAATCAACACTGCGGAAAGAACTCCCTATTCAATAAATGAAGTTGAGATAGCTGGCTAGCTATATGAAGAATGAAACTTGATCCCCACCATTCATCATATATAAAAATTAACTCAAGATGAATTAAAGAGTTAAATGTAAGACCTCAAACTATAAGAATCCTAGAAGAAAACCTAGAAAATACCATTCTCGACACTGGCCTTGAAAAATCATTTATGACTAAGTCCTCAAAAGCAATTGCAACCTAAAAAATGTTGTCAAATGGGATCTAATTGAACCGAAGAGTTTCTGCACCTCAAAATAAATATGAACAGAATAAACAGACAAGCTAGAGAATGGGAGAAAATATTTTCAATCTATGCATACAACAAAGGTCTAGTATCCAGAATCTACAGGGAACTTAAACAGTTCAATATGCAAAGAAACAAATAACTCCATTAAAAAGTGGACAAACAACATGAATATGCAGTTCTCAAAAGAAGACATACATACAAGCAGCCAACACATACGAAAAAATGCTCATCATCACTAATCATCAGAGAAATTCAAATCAAAACCACAATGAAATAGTAACTCACATCACTCAGAATGGCTTTTCTGTCAAAAACAAAACAAAACAAAACAAAACAAAACAAAACAAAACAGATGCTTACCAGGCTGCAGAGAAAACAAAACACATATATTGTTGGTGGAAATGTAAATTAGCTCAGCCACTGTGGAAAGCAGTTTGGAGATTTCTCAAAGCACTTAAAACAGAACTACCATTTAACCTAGCAATTTCATTACTGGGTATATATCTAAAAGAAAATAAATCATTCTACCAAAACCACATGCAATTGTATGTTCATTGCTGACTATTCATAATAGCAAAGACAGAGAATCAACGGAGATGCTCAACAACAGTGGATTGGATACAAAATTTGGCACATATACATCATGAAATACTACACAGCCATTAAAAAGAAAGAAATTATGTCATTTGTAGTGACATGGATGGAGCTGGAGGCCATTATACTAAGTAAATTTAAACATGAACAAAAGATAAAATACTGCATGTTTTCACTTACAAGTCAGAGCTAAATATTGGGTACTCATAGACATAAAGATGGCAACAGTAGACACTGAGGACTAATAGAAGGAAGAGAGAAGTAGGAAGTCAAGTGTTGAAAAACTGTTGAATGCTCACTCTCTGAGTGACAGAATCATTCATATCCCAAACCTCAGCATCACGCTATATACCTAGATAACAAACCTACACGTGTACCCCCTGAATCTAAAATAAAAGTTGAAATTATTAAAAAAAAAGTTTATGTTCTCTAAGGTTCCTTCTGACTCTATTTCCTTATTGAGCTATGTAGCAAAGGTGTCTTGAACATGGTAGAACTTCATCTGCAGGACATAATGTGGAGACCTGCTTTGGTTCCTTTTCTAAAAGGAAGCATGGTTTGAAGTCTTGATGAACAGAGAAAGCAAGAAAATTCCACAAAACAAATTGAACTTGTCCAGTTAGAATCTATGATAAGTCCACAACTCTTTTTAAAATTATTTTACGTTGACCTTAGAGCTTTCAGTAAAGCTTTTGGATTTTCCCCCAGCTTCCCCGGGTCTTATATTTTATTAGTGGATGTAAAATTTCAAGCTTTATTTTTTTCAAGTCAACGTTTTTAGTCATGAAGAAATCCTATAGATTTTTGAATTTAAAAAATCTTTTTCTTTCTTAATTTTTGACTTGCAGGTTCAAAATAATATTTTATTTTATCAAAGTTATTAGCAAAAGAAAATATATAATCTAAGAGAGTAGCTTGCACTCAAATTTTCATGCCCTGTTCTGCATTCTTTTGTATAATTTTTTAAACATACGCCCTGGGTCAAGGATTGATTTCTCTCATGTCCTACCTGGCATCAAAAAACAGGCTAGTATTTAATAGATAATATTACTGGACTAAAGTCATCATGTGTGGCTGGAGATATCAAGACCTATTTGCCTTCAGTTTTCCCTCCTTTTAAGGTCATTGCTGGAAATTTCACTTTTCAACTCAGTCTTGCTCTGATGTTTGGGATTAGGTGAGGTCTATGTTCCATATTGCCTCTCTAGATAAGGGATTTTTAGGAAATTAATACAAAATTTGGAATTTAGACTTTTTCCATTTCAGTAGGCTACATTTCATAAAAACTGATGATTATTTCTGGATTTAGAAATAAGACAGATGCCAGATGATGAGCGTGAAAAGCAACATTCAAACCCAAATGCTACAGTAGATAGAAATAAAGGAAATCATAGCTGGGCTCAGTGGCTTATGCTTATAAACCTAGATACTCAGGAGGCTGAGGTGGGAAGATCACTTGAGGCCAGTAGTTTGAAACCAGCCTGGGCGACATGGAGAGATCTCATCTCTTAAAAAACAACAAAAAATTAGCCACGCATGGTTACTCATGTCTACAGTCCTGGTTATCCAAAAGGCTGAGACAGGAGCATCACTTGAGCCCAGAAGTTTGAGGCAGAGTAAGATCTTGTCTAAGAAAGAAAAAAAAAGAAAAGAAGATAAAGGAAGACTTATTATAGTATAGTAAAATATTTTAAATAATCTTGTCTACTTCATGGGCTCTCCAGAGTGAACATTCTTCTTTAAGGGAATAAATTTTAACTTTAGACTCCTAAAGGGCTATCAGAAATTTAAAAAATTATAAAAACACATAACATAGAAAGAAGGATGCTTTCTGAATTGAGTTTTAGAGTTTCTAATCTCTCTCTCTTTTTTTTTTTTTTTTTGAGATGGAGTCCCGCTCTGTCGCCCAGGCTGGAGTGCAGTGGCACAATCTTGGCTCACTGCAAGCACTGCTTCCCAGGTTCATGCCATTCTCCTGCCTCAGCCTCTCGAGTAGCTGGGACTACAGGCGCCTGCTACCATGCCCGGCTAATTTTTTTGTATTTTTAGTAGAGACGGGGTTTCACCGTGTTAGCCAGGATGGTCTCGATATCCTGACCTCGTGATCTGCCGGCCTCGGCTTCCCAAAGTGCTGGGATTACAGGCGTGAGCCACCGTGCCCGGCCTCTAATCTCTATCTTTTTTGGAAGAAGTCTGTGTTGTAAATTCCCTTAAAACAACGGATTGGTTTTAACTGAAGGCTTCACTCATTGACAGTTGGCAAGGTAAACACTGCAAGTTCCTCTGAGTGGTAGATGTAGGTTAGGACAACGGTCAAGACTTAAGTATATTTTATGGTCTAAGTACTCTCTTGAATAATCTAGCTTCAAAAGTGAAGGCAGAAATGCTGGGGCAGGATTGTCTTGGTGGTGAGGGGATAAATGGAATGGTGACTTTATGTAATATCTGGTACCCTAAACTTGGAAGAGCATTGTGTGTATGGGTGGGTGTGCTGTGTGTGATTATTCTGTTTCTGATTTTTAAGCATACTTATAAATCTTAGGACAAACTTTGACTCAATCTTGTGTTATATTACTTGTAATAATGACTTCAATAATTCTCCTTATCTCTGTGTTCATGCCTTTTTGCAAAATGTTTTCACCACCTCTCTAATCAAAAGGTAAAATCTGTTTATCCACCTCTAGAATTTGGGCTCATCTGTGAGTTGCTTTCACCAGATGAATATGGCAACAGTGACATGAGTATGGCAAAAGAGACTTGGCCTCAATAGGCTTGGCGGTTTCTATCCTTGCTGTCTTGGAACACTTCTACCATTAAGTGAAAGCTCTGTCTAGCCAGTGCAGGATTAAAGGCAATGTGAGACAGAGAAGAGCTGTTGTAGCTGAGGTGTACAAGACCAACCAGTGAACAACTACCATCAGAAATGTGATTGAGACTTTTTAGCCCCAGTCAAGCTACCATATGACTTCACCCACTTGAGTGCTTCTAGAAAAGACCAGCAAAAGAATTGCCTAGATGTGCACCTAACCCAAATTGCAGAATTGTAATAAAATGAAATGTTTGTTGTTTTAAACTACTAAATTGGTGTTTTGTTACATAGAATAATGATTGAAACACATTCCTAGCATTTAATGTATTGCATATCATTCCTGTGGTCCCTAGGCAACAATCTTGCCTTGATTTTTACTTTAAATTACTGTCGTGCCCATGTATTAAATAACAATATATACTGTATACTTTCTGCATGTGGTGTGTGATTATACACCTCTTACTTTCTTGGGCTTTACAAAAGAAAATCACCAGAAGAGTTTTGATTTTATACATTAATATATTAATATAATACTATAGATTAAGGGCACTTTCTTAAGAATCTGTAGAATAATTTATGTTTTACTCTGCACATTTACATGAACATATTTGTCAAAGATGGAATATCATAAGGAAAGGAAGCAAATGAATATCAGAGGAGGAATTCTGAAAGATCAGTTTTGACATGAGAACAGGTGAAGTGAAGCCTAATGTCCTAATGCAATTCCGAGTAATAAACAATGTCAAGGCAATAAGAACTTACAAACTTCAACATTAAATTTCTGTTAAGCTTTCAGCACTATTGTGCCTTATAAAAATTGTATGTATTCATTGATGTTTGAACTGTTGCTTTTACAGTAACTTATTGCCAAAATCCCAAACAAATGTCCTTTGGGAAGAGGTCCTACTTTTAACTTGAAAAACAAAAATACATTTTAATAGTTCTCCTTCATTGTTTTCCATAATCATTAAATAAATAGTTATATACCAAATTGTTTTCAACTCTTTTCTCTCTATTTTCATGTTTCCTTCCCTCCTTCCTTCTCTCCCACCTTCCTTTCTTACTTTCCTTTTATCATTTCTGTTTATTTACTCTTTGTTCCAAAAGGTATTTGAAGAGCAGTTATTGGATATTGCAATTCATCTTACTGTTAGAAAACAAATATCTCCTTAACAAACAACTTAGCATGTGAAGTTAATTAATTTAGAACAGAAAATGTGGACCAGAAACAATTATCACCTGATAGCAAAATCTAGAACACATCCACAGTAGCTGTTCATAGGTTATACTAATGAATTAAGGAGATATTATTTGCAAAGAAAGAAATGTAAATGAAACCACATTAATTCACCCAGGCTTCCTCAAAAACCAACCCTCACCCTTTTATTTTCCCTTGATTTAGGCAGAAGTTGTGAACATTTAAATCAGAGAATTGATTTCAAAGTGGGAAATAAGTGTTGCTCCTAATTGTATCAGACATTAATATCTTGCATTGTGAATAACTGCTGTTTTTCTAAGTGATTCTTTTTGGGCCACCCCAATTTGATACTTCGGCTCCTCTTTAGAAGCAGTGTGTTGCTAGGCTTATCGCTAAGTAACGCCACACAGTGAGAAAAGCTAAATTCTGAGATTTTAGTGGGAGATTCCAAAATGTATTCTTGATTTATAATTTAATATTAAATGACATGTATGTCCATATTATATTGAATTATGAGAAGTAGAACTTATTTCAGATAATCTAGAAAATTTCCTGCTCAGAATGTGTTTTTTCCAAGTTAAAAATGACCTTAAACTATACAGCATATGTCATCTTTTAAAAATTTAACAAGCAATTGCATTACAGACAAATCTAACGTTTTAGAGCTGTGCAACTCTTGGCTATATCCATTTGGCATTTTCAAGAAAAGGGCTAGTCTTGTCAAACATATATGAAATGAAGGTACTGGGAAACAATTCTCCATGGATCTCTTACGTTTCTGTATGTCTTCCAAACAGGGGCACTAATAGACTTTTCTCTAGGCTATCTTTTCAAGGATGCTTGTATAACAAACAATGTTGGAAGTAGAGAGTGTGTCTCCCTTCAGAGCAAAAGCAAGTTTGCTTATAGCTGTGAAAGATAATAGTGGCTCCTTCTAGAGTAAAGGTCAAGCATATCTACTGCCCATTAAAAAAGGTACTGCTAGCTCAGGTCAGTGTTCCTCTCGGGTAATGCAATTCACTGTGTGTGCAAGTATCACCTGGCCCTCTTTGCATCAGGTCCCTCTGTGGTAACTGAGACTTGGGGATTCTGTATAAGAAAAAGTTGATACTCTGGCTACTGTTATTGCCGTGATTAATAAAATCCTTTGTCTCTGACCTAGGAGTCTTCTGACTTCTGACAGTGTTTACCACATTGTGGCAGGCTAACTTATTAGCCTGATTGTAGGGTAAAATCAGGTTCTTGATTTTACCTGGTTCTTCACAGAGAGTATACTTTTTTTGACAATTCATATTACAATAAGTGTATTCAATCAAATAAAACATTAGGGGGCTTCTCTTAAAAACTAAGAAACATAAAAGTATTTATTATAAGTAGCAGCATGAAAATGTGTGTTCTAGGAAATGTGATTAAGTGCATACATTTTTTGCCTTATCCTTAATCTTATGAAATAATTGGTTCCCTCCTAAAGAAGTGTAACCAGGAGCCAAGATGTCAAGGAGAAATTCTTTTGTGTAGGTACACCTTCTTAACATCTTTAATGGCATTCATTTAAATAGAATGCCATTAAAATGTCCAAATTCACACTTCTGATCATACCTCATCTAAGAAAAATCAAATTTCTAATGTATGATATTAATGTTAATACATATCACTGATTCTTACTTTTTAATATGCATCAACATTACCTGGAGGGTTGTTAAAGCACAGATTACTCGGTTCCACTTCTAGATTTTCTGTTCTAAGGTGTCAGAAATGGGGACCAAGTATTTGCATTTCTAACAAGTTCCCAGGAGATGCTAAGGTTTCTGAACAAATTTTGAGAACCATTGATAAAGAAAGATGCTTGGAAATGATACAACATATTTAAACAACTCATTGTTTAGAATCATACAGAATTAGGTTAGAATCTCAGGTCTAATATTAATTAGCTGTGTTACCTTGGAAAATTTGTATAATTTCCTTGAGACTCAGTTTCTTCATCTGTAAAGTGGGACTAATAATAACACCTGTCTCAAGGGGAGATTTTGAGTATTAAATAAGCTAACTCATGTAAAGTGCTTTGCATAGTATGTGGTGGCACTTACTAGGTTCTCAGTAAATGAAAACATCATTATTATATTACTCTTCTCAAGTAACTTGTTTTACAATGAAGATTTATGAAATAAATTTTTAAATATTAAATCCTCTCTCAGTTCTTTTAAACTGTGGTTAGAATGGTTATCTTATAACTGCACATATCTTTGTATAAAAAAGATACAAATATCTCTTAAATATTATAGAACTGGTTGAAAATATTTTCTTTTTTTTTTCTTCTTTTCTTTTCTTTTTTTTTTTTTTTTGAGATGGAGTCTCCCTCTGTCGCCCAGGATGGAGTGCAGTGGCGTGGTCTCGGCTCACTGCAACCCTGCAACCTCCGCCCTTCCGAGTTCAAGCAATTCTCTGCCTCAGCCTCCCAAGTAGCTGGGATTATAGGCACCCATCACCACTCCCTGCTAATTTTTTTGTATTTTTAGTAGAGGCAGGGTTTTGCCATCTTTGCCAGGCTGGTCTTGAACTCCTGACCTCGTGATCCGCCCATCTCGGCCTCCCAAACTGTTGGGATTGCAGGCGTGAGCCACCGCACCTAGCCAATACTTTCAGTTCATCAGCACATGGTCTCTGGAAGCATGTTATTTACTTCAACAAATTCTCCCTGGCTTGATTAAACTGTCTCATGCGTGTACACCAAACCTTTCTTGTTATGGAGGCTGGCTTATATTCCTGCTAATGGTGTCATGTGCATACCCTTATTGTTGGTGTAGTTGTTTTCAGTTTACCTCATTATACAAATGGCTTTGATTTTCCAAGAATTGCTACAAAGTCTGAGAAAGTCCATTAGGAGTTACAAGAGAGAATCTTCAACTTCTGGTATGATGGTGTTTTATGAAGATTTCTTTTTCTTTACTGAAAGCAAAAAAAAAAAAAACTTCTTAAGTATCAGAAAAAAAAATTCATAAGAAGTACCATGCTTTTTGATTTATGGAAGCTTATTTTAAAAAAATTTTTTGAGTGTTTGCATATACAGTTATGAATCAAATAACGATGAGGATATGTTCTGAGAAATGTGTTGTTAGGCAATTTTGTCATTGTGAGAACATCATGGCGTCTACCTACACAAACCTAGATGGTATAGCCTACTGCACTATATGGTATATCCTATAGTTTAGTAGCCTATAGGCTACAAATATGGTATGGCCTGTTGCGGGTAGGCTACAAACATGTATATCATGTTACTGAACTGAATACTTTAGGCAATTGTAACACAATAAATATTTGTGTATGTAAACATACAAGAGGTACAGTAAAAGTATAGTATAAAAGATGAAAAATGATACACCTGTATAGGACATTTACCACAAATGGAGCTTGCAGAACTGGGTGAGTCAGAGAGTGAATAATGAGTGAATGTGAATGCCTAAGATGTTATTATACAATACCGTGGGCCTCATAAATACTGTACACTTAGACTACACTAAATTTATAAAAATACTTTTCTTTAATAATATATTAGCAATAGCTTACTATAACTTTTCTACTTTACAAACTAATATTTAAACTTTTTGACTTTTAAAAATAATACTAAAACTTAAGACACATATACATTGTACAGTTGTACAAAAACATTTCTTTTATTCTTATTCTATAAGCTATTTTATGTTTTTAAAATATTTAAAATATTTTATTTAACTTTTTAAACTTTTTTCTCTAAAAACTGATACACAAATACACACATTAACTCAGGCCTACCCAGGGTCCAGATAACCAATATCACTGTCTTCACACAAATACACACATTAGCCCAGGCCTACCCAGGGTCAAGATAACCAATATCATTTTCTTCCACCTCCACATCTTGTCCAACTGGAAGGTTTTCAGGAGCAGTAACACACATGGAGTTATCATCTCCTATAACAATGAGTTCTAGAATACGTCCTGAAGAACTTGCCTGAGGCTGTTTTATGATTTTTTTTAATAATTAGGCGTATACTATAAAATAAAGATAAAATGT
The DNA here is from genome assembly GCF_000001405.40 of Homo sapiens. Taxonomy (NCBI): domain Eukaryota; kingdom Metazoa; phylum Chordata; class Mammalia; order Primates; family Hominidae; genus Homo; species Homo sapiens. The sequence continues at coordinate 105,119,342 of NC_000003.12, read as the reverse complement.
ATAGTAAATGTAAACCAGTAATGTACTCATTTATTTTCCTTATCAAGTATTAGGTAGTATAAATAATTATATGTGTTATACTTTTATACAATTGGCAGCACAGTAGGTTTGTTTATACCAGCATCATCATAAATACCTGAGTAATGTGTTGTGCTACAACATTATGATGACTGCAACGTCGCTATGCAATAGGAATTTTGCAATGTCTTTATAATCTTATGGGACCACTATCACACATGTGGTAATCATTGACTAAAATTTCCGTAGGCAGTGGATGACTATATTTATGTGTTTTTGTGGGTGTCTGTGTTTGTTTAAGCTTGCATAATCCTCCAATGACCATTCATAATAAAGTCTACTTAAATAATTGCAAATAAAAGTGAGGCCCATAATTAGGTAGCATTGGCATCACTAAGAAAATTGTTAGAAATGCAGAATATTAGACACCTTCTCAGACCTACTGAATCAAAATCTGAATTTTAACAAGATTCCTAAGTGATTCTTAAGTACTTTAAAGTTTGAAAAGCACTAATTTAATATTGTATCTGTGAGTATAAATTTCATTTTATGCAATTGAAAGTTTCTTCTTTCTATTAAAATCAGTGTATGATTTGTGATCTTAAAATAGGAAGAAATAAAGAGAAAACACCTTTACTTACAAGGAATTACTGTTACTTATTTACATTAAAATATATAACATTGAGTGAATGTCACCAATTATCCTCAAGCTCACATAAAACTAGACATGAAATGGTTAAAAAGGAAATCTTTAACGTACTTCAGGAGACATTAAGAATGGGAAGGGCTGGCCAGGCACGGTAATCCCAGCACTTTGGGAGGCCGAGGCGGGTGGATCACGAGGTCAGTTCGAGACCACCCTGACCAATATGGTGAAACCCCGTCTCTACTAAAAATACAAAAATTAGCCGGGCATGGTGGCGCGCGCCTGTAATCCCAGCCACTTAGGAGGCTACGGCAGCAGAATCGCTTGAACCCGGGAGGCGGAGGTTGCAGTTAGCCGAGACTGCGCCATTGCACTCCAGCCTGGGGAACAGGGCGAGACTCCGTCTCAAACAAACAAACAAAAAAAGAATGGGGAGGGCTAAGGCTAAGTGTTGATCACAGTAAATCATGGCGCTCATTTTCCTTCCCAGAAAGTACTTGTTATTCTTCCTAACAAAAAGTGATAAATTTAGACATCCTCCTCATTGCTGAAGCCTGGTAGAGAACATAGACCCAGTGGTGAGAGAACAGCACACAGGCCCTCACAAGGATAACGCAGGCTCCATTCTGTGAGAGACCATTCCCAAGGTCATAGTAACACACGGCAGCCATTTCTTCAGGGAACCTTCAAGCACAGCAAATGTCATAACACTGACAAGAGCAAGGATCTAAACAGCAACTTACAGCTTTCTGTGATTGGTAGTGAGAGTTTTGATATAAGTTTGAAACCATTCCAGAAAGAATAACATGGAATACTTTACAAGAAATACAGCAGAAAAGAAGGTCTCTGAGAAGAGGAAGTCAGGCTGGACCAGACATGGGGAGCTCTGTTAATGTTCTAGAGGGTTTTCAATAATTCCCAGTCAGGAGGAATTGGAAATTAATAATGATAATGATAAACAACACTTTAGGACTAAGAGTTTGGTTGTAATCACGATTTTGAAAACAGTGTCCATAATGAGGGTTCAAGTGTTGCTATAAAGTTTGTAGATAAATTTTCTCTGTGGGTATTGCTATTGATAGCCATCAGACTCCATGGGTCACAAACTGCAGTTTCCAGAATGGTCACTATAAAAATGGAATACCCTGTTTACAAAACTTATTTATGGATAATGGAAGTGTAATTTGCACTGAATCAAGAAATAAGTCTGCTACAAAGTGGTTCCACTTAAGTATACAGTAGATGATGTATCAACTTCAAAAGATTTCCCTTTTTTTTTTTTTGAGATATAGTCTTGCTCTTTTGCCAAGGCTGGAGTACAGTGGCACCATATTGGCTCACTGCAACCTCCCCCTCCCTGGTTCAAGTGATTCTCCTGTCTCAGCCTCCTAAGTAGTTGGAACTCCTGCCTCAGCCTCCTAAGTAGTTGGGACTACAGGCACATGCCACCACACCCAGCTAATTTTTGTACTTTTAGTGGAGATGGGGTTTTACCGTGTTAGCCGGACTGGTCTTGAACTCCTGACCTCAAGTGATCCACCTGCCTCGGCCTCCCAGAGTACTGGAATTACAGGCATGAGCTACTGCTCCCAACCAAAGGATTACCTTTTTAGTTAATACTGAGATGGAAGTCAGCAAGAGTGGTCTAGTTTTCACTTTTTCCTCCTTTTTCCATCCAGTTTCTTGTTAGTAATGTTATTTTTATAATTTTTGGAGCATATACATTGTGTGTATTATTCTGTCATCTTTGTTTGTCCTTATGTTTTAGTCCCCAGATCTTATGCTGATGTTTTTCTTTTTATTCCCATCCAGGAATGTCATAACTATGTATTTATGAAGGATTCCACTCTTATGTCTTTGCATGTTTTCAAACATATCAATATAGCTTTAGACAGATTTATTATTATAACTTGAATATTAATCTTTATTATTTTAAATTTAATATGTTCATTTATCACATTTTTAAACTGGAAATAGCTGAATAGCTAGGACATTTTTCTGTGTTAAATTTTTCATATGCTTCCAGGCTGATCTCTCTAATAGTTCTATTTTTACGTGAATTTTCTTGGTTTTTTTAATGTATATTTTTCTTATCTATAAATAATCCATATAATTATACATTCTATTTTATTTTATTGTTTTTAATTACATGGGCTAACAGAATTATGTTAAGTAAGGGTAGAGATATTGTGAACTCTTGTCTCATTTTAAAAATCTGTAGAGAAATTTGGGAGAAATAATATTTTACATTAGATGGTTTTCTTGTATTACATTTTCAACTATTACATTTAATAATAATGTTCAATGAATTTATCAGATAAATTTGGGGCATGCATTTGAAAATAAGAATTTGTCCTTTGATCTATGTATGTAGTCAACTGTATTAATAGATTCATAAACAAGAAACACCTTCGAATTGCTATAAAAATTCTCTTTTGCCATCACAGTTTTAAAATAGTATGTGTTTCAGGGAGTTCAATTCATTCTTGCTCATAGAGGGAAGATGCTCATTATGCCATCCTGTCCAATCAACTCTATCTGATTACCCAACTGTAATATTTGGTACTGAATGAGAACGTTGAGGTTGATTGCTAGTGCTGAACTATTTGGTGCTCTGCAGTGGTTATAGCCAGATCATCCTTAGTAAGGGAAATTCTCTATTTTAGGTTAATGTACAAATGCCTCTCTTGACAACAGGGCTACTTTCATCCTTAGCCTATTAAGCAAATACTGGTGCAGTCAGTGGACATAGCTGGCTTATTCACCTTGTTGATTTTGTTATTAGGAACTTCACTCATTGTAATTGCATCTTAGCAATCATTCATTGGGGACAAGGAACCCCCATTCATGAGTTGTGGATAATGATGTTATAGTAGGGTTAGGGCACAGAAGGAGAAAGACTGAAAGGTGGAGGAGAGGGAGGTTTGAAGAAGATATATGTCGCTAACTTTTCAGAATGTGCAAGAATGTGATTTTTTTAAAATGAAATAGAGATTAAAATTTATTTTTAGTTAGTTTATTTAGAATACTGATGTTTTATCCTGTCAGGCGTATCTTTTCAATTATATTAAGACTTTGCAATGAGGTTAAGAAGTAATTTTTGAAAAATATTTACTCTACTTTTGAGTCTTTAATTAGTGACAGTCACCAACAAATGTTAAGCAAATTTTGGAAAAATTAATTGCACCTATAGAAACTCTTAGCAAATTACTTCTTCCGTTTATTACATAGTATATATTAATAAAACATCTAAATATGTTTAATATACTAGTAATAAGTACCTGAGACATAGTAAGATCTTGATTTTTATGATAATAAACTTTAGGAGGTGGAAGGCAGCATCTTCAAAGTATATGTCTCCAGTACACTCTTGCAGTGTGACATGTATGGCTCCATTTAGTTAGGAGTTAACTGAGCAGATTATCACATGTGAGCTATTGCAATTATTTACAGTTAGTACTATACATTTTTACTGCTGGCAAGTTAGTAGTTTTGTGTTTTCCTTTTATTTTCATATCAAACAGTCCACACAGTTAATACATGGTATTATGCCTATTACCAACTCAAGTTCATGAATAATCATCAATATTTGCCTATTTTTTCATATTTTATACTGCTGTTGCTATATATAACTGTTTATTTAATCATCTTCACTTGAAATTCTTTCTTTATTTATATTTCTGTTTTTTCTTGAACTTTTAAGTTCCAGGGTACATGTGCAGGATGTGGAGGTTTGTCACACAGGTAAATATGTGCCATGGTGGTTTGCTGAACAGATCAATCCGTCACCTAGGTATTAAGCTCAGCATCCATTAGCTATTCTCCCTGATGCTCTCCCTCCTCCCACCCCAACACATGACAGGCCCCAGTGTGTGTTGTTTCCCCCCAAGCGTCCATGTATTCTCATTGTTCAGCTCCCACTTGTAAGTTAGAACATGCGGTGTTCAGTTTCCTGTTCCTGCGTTAATTTGCTGAGGATAATGGCTTCCAGCTCCATCCATGTCCCTTCAAATGGCATAATGTAATTCCTTTTTATGGCTGCATTGTGTATATGTACCACATTTTCTTTGTCTAGTCTATCATTGCTGGGCATTTGGATTGAATCCATATCTTTGCTATTGTGAGTAGTGCTGCAATGAACATATGTTTGCACGTATCTTTGTAATAGAATGATTTATACTCCTCTGGGTATATACCCAGTAATGGGATTTCTGGGTCAAATGGTATTTCTGCTTCTAGATCTTTGAGGAATTGCCACACTATCTTCTACAATGGTTGTACTAATTTATGTTCCCACCAAGAGTGTAAAAGTGTTCCTTTTTCTACGCAACTTCACCAGCATCTGTTGTTTTTTGGCTTTTTAATAATCGCCATTCTGACTGGTGTGAGATGGTATCTCATTGTGATTTTGATTTGTATTTCTCTAATGATCAGTGATCTTGAGCCTTTTTTTTTTTTTTGAGACAGAGTCTTGCTCAGTCGCCCAGGCTGGAGTGCAGTGACACGATGTCGGCTTATTGCAAGCTCTGCCTCCCAGGTTCATATCATTCTCCTGCCTCAGACTCCCAAGTAGCTGGGACTACAGGCACCCGCCACCACGCCCGGCTAATTTTTTCTATTTTTTCATAGGGATGGGGTTTCACCGTATTAGCCAGGATTGTCTCGATCTCCTGACCTCATGATCTGCCCACCTTGGCCTCCCAAAGTGCTGGGATTACAGGCGAGCCTTTTTTTTATATGTCTGTTGGCCACAGGAATGTCTTCTTTTGAGAAGTGTCTGTTCATGTCCTTTGCCCACCTTTTAATGCTGTTTTCTTTTTTTTTTTTCTAGTAAATTTGTTTAAGTTCTTTGTAGATTCTGGATATTAGACCTTTGTCAGATGGACAGATTGCAAAAATTTTCTCCCATTCTGTAGGTTGTCTGTTCACCCCAATGATAGTTCCTTTTGCTGTGCAGAAGCTCTTCAGTTTAATTAGATCTCATTTGTCAATTTTTGCTTTTGTTGCAATTGCTTTTGGTATTTTCATCATAAAATCTTTGCCAGTGACTATGTCCTGAATGGTATTGCCTAGATTTTCTTCTAGGGTTTTTATAGTTTTAGGTTTTACATTTAAGTCTTTAATCCATCTTGAGTTAATTTTTTTGTAAGTCGTAAGAAAGGGATCCAGTTACATTGTGCTGCATATGGCTAGCCAGTTCTCCCAGTACCATTTATTAAATAGGGAATCCTTTCCCAATTGCTTGTTTTTGTCAGTTTTGTCAAGGATCAGATGGTTCTAGATGTGTGGTCTTATTTCTGAGTTTTCTATTCTGTTCCATTGGTCTATGTGTCTGGTTTTTTTTTTTTTTTTTTTTTTTTGACAAGTACCATGCTGTTTTGATTATTGTAGCCTTGCAGTATAGTTTGAAGTCAGGTAGTGGGATGCCTCCAGCTTTGTTCTTTTTGCTTAGGCTTGCCATGGCCATATGGGCTCATTTTTGGTTGAACATGAATTTTAAAATACATTTTTCTAATTCTGTGAAGAATGCCAATGGGAGTTTAATGGGAATAGCATTGAATCTACAAATTACTTTGGGTAGTATGGCCATTTTTATGATATTGATTCTCCCTATTCATGAGCATGAAATTTTTATTCATTTGTTTATGTCCTCTCTTATTTCCTTGAGCAGAGGTTTGTGGTTCTCCTTGAAGAGGTCCTTCACTTCCCTTGTGTGATGGTTGATATTGTGTCAAATTCATTGGATTGAAGGATGCAAAATATTGTTCCTGGGTGTGTCTGTGAGGGTGTTGCTGAAGGAGATTAATATTTGAGTCAATGAACTGGGAGAGGCAGACCCACCCTCAATATGGGTGAGCACCATTTAATCCACTACCAGCATGGCTAGAATAGAGCAGACAGAAGAATGTAAAATGAGATGATTTGCTGAGTCTTCCGGCCTTCATCTTTCTCTTGTGTTGGATGCTTCCTGCCCTTGAACATCAGACTCCAAGTTCTTCAGCTTTTGGACTCTTAGACTTACACCACTGGTTTGCCAGGGACTCTCAGGCCTTTGGCCACAGACTAAAGGCTGCATTGTTGGCTTCTCTACTTTTGAGGTTTTTCGACTCAGTCTGGCTTCCTTGTTCCTCAGCTTGCAGACAGCCTCTTGTGAGACTTCATCTTGTGATTGTGGAAGTCAGTATTCCTTAATATACTCCCCTTCATATATACATCTATTAGTTCTGTGCCTTCAGAGAACTCTGACTAATACACCTTGTTAGCTGTATTTCTAGGTATTTTATTCTCCTTGTAGCAACTGTGAATGGGAGTTCAGTCATGATTTGGCTATCTGCTTGCCTGTTGTTGGTGTATAGGAATACTAGTGATTTTTGTACATTCATTTTGTATCCTGAGTCTTTGGTGAAGTTGCTTATCAGCTTAAGAAGCTTTTCTTAAAAAGAGGCTGAGACACTGGGGTTTTCTAGATACAGGATCATGTCATCTGCAAACAAAGATAATTTGACTTTCTCTCTTCCTATTTGAATACCCTTTATTTCTTTCTCTTGCCTGAGTTCTCTGGGCAGAACTTCTAATACTATGTTGAATGGGAGTGGTGAGAGAGGGCATCCTTGTCTTGTGCCAGTTTTCAATGAGAATGCTTCCAGCTTTTGTCCATTTAGTATGATATTGACTGTGAGTTTGTCATATGTGGCTATTATTATTGTGAAATATGTTCCTTCAATACCTAGCTGAGTGAGAGTTTTGTTTGTTTGTTTGTTTGTTTGTTTTGAGACAGAGTCTCACTCTGTCGCCCAGGTTGGAGTGCAGTGGTGCCATCTTGGCTCACTGCAAGCTCCGCCTCCTGGGTTCATGCCATTTTCCTGCCTCAGCCTCCCGAGTAGCTGGAACTACAGGAGCCCGCCACCTCGCCTGGCTATTTTATGTATTTTTAGTAGAGACGGGGCTTCACCGTGTTAGCCAGGATGGTCTTGATCTCCTGACCTCATGATCCGCCCACTTCAGCCTCCTAAAGTTCTGAGATTACAGGCGTGAGCCACCGCGCCTGGCCTTATTGAGAGTTTTTAACATGAAAGGATGTTGAATTTTATTGAAGGCCTTTTCTGCTTCTATTGAGATAATCATGTGGTTTTTGTCTTTAGTTCCATTTATATGATAAATTACATTTATTGATTTGTGTATGTTGAACCAACATTGCATCCCATGGATGAAACCAACTTGATCATGGTGAATATGCTTTTTGAGGTGCTGCTAGATTCTGTTTTCCAGTATTTTATTGAGGATTTTTGCATTGATATTCATCAGGAATATTGGCCTGAAGTTTTCATTTTTTGTGTCTCTCTGCCAGGTTCTAGTGTGAGGATGATGCTGGCCTCATAAAAATGAGTTAAAAGAGGAGTCCTTCCTTTTCAATTGTTTGTAATAGTTTCAGAAGAAAAGGTACTTAATTCACTACTTGTATCCTTAGTCTATTGAACAAATACTGGTGAGGTTACCAGACAAAGTTTGCTTATTCTCCTTTTGAAAGAATAGCTAACGTACATTCAACCTTTTATTTTTCACCTTAATATATAAATGTGTGTATAGTTTACATTTATAGCTATGTGATTTGTTCCAAATAAATCTTTGGTCTTATCCTATAGGATTTTATATATATAACACTTATAAATTTTGTTTTATATATGATTTGTAATTTCCATTTTCATTTTAATTACTCATTTTCCCTGCAGAGTTATCTAGAAGCATTATATGTTTCTGAGTAGAAAGCTGATTCTTTGACTAAATTATTGCAGTATGTTGAATGGATGTGGCATAATTTTTTTTAAATTATGCTTTAAGTTCTGGGGTACATGTGCAGAACATGCATGTTTGTTACATAGGTATACACGTGCCATGGTGGTTTGCTTCACCCATCAACCCATCATCTACATTAGGTATTTGTCCTAATGCTATCCCTCCCCTAGCCTCCACCCACTGACAAGCCCCAGTGCGTGATGTTCCCTTCCCTGTGTCCATGTGTTCTCATTGTCCAACTCCCACTTATGAGTGAGAACATGCGGTGTTTGGTTTTCTGTTCTTGTGTTAATTTGCTCAGTATGATGTTTTCCAGCTTCATCCATGTCCCTGCAAAGGACATGAACTCATCCTTTTTTATGGCTGTATAGTATTCCATGGTGTATATATGCCACATTTTCTGTATCCAGTCTATCATTGATGAGCATTTGGGTTGGTTCCAAGTCTTTGCTACTGTGAATAGTGGGATGTAGCATAATTTTTTCTATGTGAAATCTATTGAGGTTTTAGCTATTCCATAGCACTTTGGCAAGTGTCTCTCTGTGTATAACAAATACATTTTTTAATTGTGGTACACTAATTGTACCCCCATTGTATCTGGGAAGTAACTAACTTGTTTTTGATTTTACAGGCTCATAGATGGAAGTGACTTGCCTTGTCTCAGATAAGACTTTGAACTGTGGACTTTTGAGTTAATGCTGAAATGAGTTAAGACTTTGGGGGACTGTTGGGAAGGCATGATTGGTTTTGAAATGTGAGGACATGAGATTTAAAAGGGGCCAGGGGCAGAATGGTAAGGTTCGACTGTGTCCCCACCCAAATATCGTCTTGAATTGTAGCTCCCATAATTCCCACTTGTTGTGGGAGGGGCCCAGTGGGAGATAATTGAATCATGGGGGCAGGTCTTTCCCATGCTGTTCTCATGATAGTGAATAAGTCTTATGAGATCTCATGGTTTTATAAAGGGGAGCTCCTCTGCACAAGCTCTCTCTTGCCTGCTGCCATGTAAGACACGACTTTGCTCTTCATTTGCCTTCAACCATGATTGTGAGGCCTCCCTCTCCATGTGGAACTGTGAGTCAATAAACCTCTTTCCTATATAAATTATCCAGTCTCTGATATGTCTTTATTAGCAGCATGAGAACAGACTAATACGTCTTCACAATAAGAATTTTTATTTTAGAAATTAAAAAGTTGATTCTTAGTGGCTTCTATGTGCCAGGCTCTAATCCAGACTTTTGGAAAATATCAGTAAGCAAAAGAGAAGAAAATCTTTGCCTTTGTGGAGTTTACCTTCTATTGGAGAAGACAGACAATAAACAATAAATAATTTAGAAATATCATCTACCAGGAGGTGATAAATGCAGTGGAAAAAAATACAACAGAGTAAAGCTGATTGATTCAGAGTGTCTGAGCTGCTGGTCAGTGATAGTAGTGGTAGAAAGAGGCAGTTGAAAATTTTCTCAGATTTTATTTTGAAAGCTTTAAACCAACAAAAATAGTTGCATGAAAAGTATATGTATTCTTTATTTAGAGTCACCAATTGTTAAATCTTTCTCTCCTCTTAGAACTCTCTCTTTTTCCCCCCAACATGCACGTGCATGCATGCACACACACACACACACACACACATGCACACTTTTAAACCTTTCGAGAGTCAGTTTCAGACATTGTAATGCTGTATCCCTAAATATTCAGGAAGTTTAATTACTGATAACAAAATGCTGGCTGAAGTAGCACTCCCAGGCTGGCTACTTCAGCATTACCCAGTATGGGTACTAAAGATTTAAATAGGACCTGCTTCTCGTGATTCTAAAGTAAATTGGGGCCCAGCAATATATATTTTATCAAGTCTACTTCCAGTGATTCAGATGCATAGGTATGTTAAGGTCAAAGAGCTTGCAAGTAAATAAAAAAAGCAACAGCAGGCACAAGTCACCTGGGAAAACAGTTCCCTGAAACTGAGACAAAGCATGCCAAAGGAAGGAAATCCTTTTCAAATTTCTTGCTATAGTGAAAATTAAGACTGCACAGATTCCAGTCTTATATTAGGTTAGAATATAGCTTGCTATATCCTAATAGAGCCTGCTCAGATTCCAAGATTTTTCAAAAACTATTTAAGATTATTCTTCTTAAGACTGCTTTAATTTATTTTTGTAACCTTAAGATAAAGCTCACCTGAAAAGTAGGAAGTATTCAATTAGTATTTGTTAGTTGAATGCTTAAATTGGAGAAAGAGTTAATCTTTGATGCTTTCGTGTCTTTGCTAAAAAAAAATTGCTAATTGCTAAGTATTGGAAAATTTTTCCCTTCTTTGTATATTCCCCAAGTAAACTAAAGTACAAAGATATTTAGCATTCCTTAGATTTGCCAGGCATATATGTAATGTCAAATGCTAATACATTATTGTTTTCCAAAAATAAAAAAAAAGAAAATGGGTTTATGACCAAGACAATTGAGAAACTGAATTGTGTTTCATCCCCGTCTTGGAGATAATCTACTTTAGCATTTTGAAGACCCTAAGTCTTGCAGCTTATGATGTTTAACCTAAAATTTCCAAAATACATTTGGAACCTTTTGGAAGGGACCTTTTGGAAGGGAGTCATTATATTTAACCTTCAATTATTTTCAGTAATGGAGAGGAAAAATGGTGTGAAACTGCACTGGTCCTTAAAGGATAGTCCTTGGACGTCACAATTAACAGCAGCAGAGAATTTGTTTATAATGCAGAACCTCAGGCTCTTAGATCCCCTGAATCAGAATCTGCATTTTAACAAGTTTTCCAGGTGATTTATATGCATATTAAATTTAAGAAGTACTCATGTAGATAATGTGAAAGACAAGATATTATTAATTTTATTGATTCTGCAATGTATAAAAATGTTCTTTCGTTTGAGTTAAATTAATCTATATTCCTTGATTAAACTCTGATGAATGAAAGGGAGAGTGTCCCATAAATGTTATAAATAGCATTAAAAATATACCCTGGTTATAATAGTTTCCCACAGACTAATGTTCAGTGTAGATCATTTTTTTAAACCAAACCTCAGTTGGGCACATCTATTTTAAATGTTTTGCCTGACATTATTATTTTGTTTTCAAATAAATTTTTTAATTTTATTAAAATAGTAGTAGGTTGGTGCAAAAGTAATTGCAGCTTTGGTCATTCCTTTCAATGGCAAAAACCGAAATTATTTTTGCACCAACCTAAATATATTATGTATAATATACATTTCAGATATAATACATATATGTAAACATACACAAATCTCCACAGTTTAAACAATGTCCAATAGTGCTATTAGTTGCATAAAGAAAAATTGATTCCTTACCCTATTCTTCCCTAGTCCTAATTTCTGCTTTTCTGAGGCTACCACTTTAAATTATATTTTCTTTGTTCTGTATATCATATGTATATAACATATATATATTCACCTATATCTTGCTTTTTCAAACGTTGATATTATGTTTTGACTTCTTAAAATTGACACTGATATTATAACTTTCTAGTATCACTTTCCTGAGGCACCCCTGCTAACTCAATACTTTTAAAACAGTGCATCATGATTTTAATTAAATTAACATTACAAGTTTTTAAATTATGAGTATAACAATATTGTTCGTTTCTTACACATGAATATCCTATTGCTATATAACATTGTGTATCTTCTTTTTCATGGGGACAATACTTCACTCCTTTTCACTATTTCTTTTTCTTTTTACTAATTTATCCCAAATTATTGAAAAGAACTGTAAAATTGCCCTTTCTAGTCTAATATATCAAATTTCTGTCAGTCCCATTTATTGCCAGTTAATGCCATTTCTCCCGCAGACTTTTGTCTTCCTATTTTGATCTGGACTCCCTGTTCTTTTGTCCTGATCAGCAAATGTTTTCCTAGAATTGTCATTCATCACCATCCTGTAGATTCTGTTTATCTCCTTCTTTCTTTGGATCCTCGATTTTCTAACTTTAGCTTGAAGCATACTGTAGTTTTCAGACGGGTGTATCCAGTAGCTTCAAGCAGTAGGGGTACACTTGTGAAAACTTGCAAGTATGAAACTATCATTTGCTTCCCTTACACCGTATTGCTGTGGTTGATCTCATAACCTGTTTAAGGGACCCGTTTTCCTTCTTTGACAATTTAGGTTTTTTCTTAATCCATCATGTTTCGAAACTTGATGATAATATTCCTTGGTGTGGGTTTCTTCTCATTTATTTTTCTCATGGACATTTTAATTCTGTAACATCTCCTTTTTTTAATTCTGGGAAATTTTCTTAGTGTTATATTTTTCATTACTTTTCCTCCATTTTCTCTGTTTATTATTTCTGAAAATCTATTATCTGGATGTTGAATCTCTTACATTGATCCTCGATTTTAGTTATTCTTAAGAAATACTTAATAAAAGTATTATTTTTTATCCTCTACTTTTGACAGTGGTGTCATCAAGTTTATATTTTGTTATGAGTAATCTTTTAATTTTGTTCTTAATTACTGCTTTCATTTATAAAATTTCTATAATTTTTTAATTCATATATTATATATATTTAAAAACAACATCCCATATATATTTTAAAAATATCATAATTTTCCTTATCTCCTTGAAGATATTGATCATATTAGGTTTCCTCTGTTCTTTTTTGGCTTCGATTTCCTTTCTATTTTTGTTCTCTTCGTTTTGGTCTCTTTTGTGTTTTTATGTTTTAACTTAATTTAATTTTCAAATCAATTTGAAGGGATAGGAATTGTATTAAGTTTCAAATTATATATGAATAGAATCACTTAAATTGCACCATGTCACTTGGCAAGAACGTGATGTATCAAATCCACAAACATGACGGCATTGCTGGCTTTCTTAATTCCTAAGTTATATTATCCCTGCCATTTTCACGTTGATAATGAGGCACTGACTCCCAGAAACTACTGCTAATAGGTAAAATTTGGTATATTATCAGAAAGAAAAATAAATATAGTTCAATGACTGTCTTTTTAAAATTGTGTAATGCTATGATCTTTGAAGTTTCTCCTAAGCTTTTGAAAAGATACAGTACTTATGTAATGCACTTTATATGATCACCTGAATTACCTATGGAACAAAAGATTTCTAGTAGGTGAACAATTAGCATAATCTTTGGTTAAAAGATTATGTTTTGGTATGTGTTGTATAAAAATAAAACAAACAAACAACAACAACAAAAAACCCCAAAAAAACCCAACAACAACCTAGTGGCAACTAGTGTTTTAACCCTGTGTATCTTCCCTGAGAACTGAAGTCCAGGTCCCAGTCCCAGCTACCCATTTGGGAGCCCTGTGGTGTCTTGGACTGCCCATGAAAGTAAAATGTCTTTTATTGGTATAGTTTAGTGGTTGACAAGTCACAGATGCATAAATGTCTTTCAAGTTTGATTTGAACCCCTACCCTACCTGAGTAGCATAAAAATTAGCTTACATTCTAAGTTCATTTTTACCTTTTTAAAATCTAATATTAAAACCTGAAGGAAACATTGTGCTTGTATGTTTCTCAAAGAATGTCCAGGAGAATTCCAGATACATTGAAAATTGATAGTGTTGAGTGAAAAAGTTTCCACAGACAGATACTTGTGCAGAACCCTGGGTTAAATACAAGTTCTATTTTAGAAGGCTAATGTGCAAAACAACTTTCCAAGAAAAACATTGAGTGTATTTTACAAGATATAAAATGTATTTTGCCATTCATGCTGCCTATATTTGGTAGAAGACTGGACATTATAATATACAACTTACATCCTACTTTTATATTTGAAGAAATTGAAAATATTAAGTGTATTATCTGAAGTTCCACAGCTGGTTAATGATAGAGATGTAATTTGAATACCAGAGGATCTAGTCCAACTTCCATTCTGCTGGTTTACTTTCTTTCCCACCAGGTTAAACCCTTCAAGTTTAACCTGAGTATATAATTTGTGGGTTCCAGTATAATATGAAATTTAGAGCCCCTTATTCAAACTGCTTTAAGGAAAAAGTGCAATTAAAAATACCAAAACATAAATATGTTTTCTTAAAAATATTTTATTGCTTATAAAACATAGTAGTTATAGTAGTGAGACATGAGTTAAAATATAAACTTAAAAGTATGAGGAGAAATAATAGTTTGACCTCATAACTTATGCAATAATGTCATGTATTAATATACTTTGTCATCTATGAAAAATAATAATAATCATTTGTTAATGTGATATCTTGATTTTTTCTGACCTGCTTTCCTAAACTTTATTTATTGTCATCAAATTTATACTTTCAGCAACTTTATTTTAATTTGTATAAATGAAAGCAACATTAGTTGCAAAAATCAAATGATTCCTGATTACTTTTAATTTTGAGAAAGATTTTTCTGCTTATGCAACTTACTAGAGCTGGAATAACGGTCTAATACATTATTTAAAAAATATATATTTTAGTATATCTAGAGCTTATAATTCCTGAGGAAAATTTTTGTTAAAAACGTTATACTTTTTATGTGAATCTGTTTTATGTAAGTCTAAATTTAATTTTAAAAGAAAATTTGTACAGGGGCATTCTAATGTTTCCTGTGGCATTACTTGTAACTTGTGGAAGTTATAAAAAAAGACTTCATAGGTTTTTTAATAACTAAAAATATCTGTTCATTCTTTCTATATTTATCCTTTAATTACAAAAGAAATAATTTCAAATATATTTCTCATTAGTCATTATTTCATTTGAAGCTTCCTATGAAAATAGTGTTCTTTTCTTCTATAAGTGACAATCTTTAAATTCAATTTCTATTTTTCTGCTTATGGATATTTGCTTTGCAATTCTTCCCTAATGTGCTTTATTGCAATGTCCATCTGTATACTTATATTTTGTAATAATTTATTGATAAGGAGAGTTCATATTCGTACAGATGTGGTAGAGACAGGTTCTGGGAATGGACAAACAAGCTGGCATCCCATTATTCTTGCTGCTGCTGCTGCTACCATTGCTGTTCTCATTGCCACCAACCTGGGTCCAGCTCCCAGTCCCAGCTGCCACCTTGGGGACTTTGCAGTGCCCCGGACTTCCCCTGATCTGCACATTCTGCAGCCAGGTCACCTCCTTGGATGCATGCTGCCTACCTGAGCCTTTGGGTACACTTAGCCTGTCTCTTCTGCTCGTGCATGCTCCATCGTCCCACTGGACTTCACTTACAGAACACAAGTTCAAAGTTAAAATTGTCACAAATAACAAGACAGCAAGAGCAGAACAGTAAACCAAGTGCAGGACCCAACGGTCTATGACTATGCAGGTTACATGCTCTGTTGCTGACTCTCTCTACATATAAAATTTATGTTATCTCTGTGTAATTGTACGTCCCAGTGTACTGAAATCTTTGAACATTAATCCAAACACTTGGAAAATTTCCAGTCCTCAGACTTAAAGTTGGAAGATTAGACTATATTCTTCAAATTTCTCTCAATAAAGCATTTAATGTTTTTTCTCACTCTTCTCACTGTCTTAATAGCATCATTTTACCCTCTTTTCAAAAGTTACCTTGGGTGTGGTTTGTAGGAAATGAATATGCGAACCTTATTGATCATGTGAAAGCCATGCTTGTTGACTTATAAATGATGTCACTTTCAAGGATTTCTGGTTAGTGGCTGTTTGTGACAATTTTATATTTCTGAGAATTTGGTGAATGAATCTTTTCAAAATTAATTTTCAAATTTCTACTGGGCGATAACTAATAATCATTTATTTAAAACTTGACAATAAATACAATTGTTTATAGGAGTTATATACTCCTAAATCGGAGGAATATACTTTTGACATAATCTACTTCCACTTTATGACTCTACCCACTAGACAAACATACACATAAACATCTCTAAAGAAACTGATGAATAGGATTTAATAGGTATTGCATTTCATGACAATTAGAGCTTAAATTGTAATTGCATGTATAAATGAATAAAATACAGTAATCATTTATAATTATAATTATTTATAATTTAATAATAGATAAAATTTGTTGTTGTGTTAGGTATCAATAGTTGGAAAATATTGGCCACCAACATTTTCATACAACTTTTTTCAACTAAATTTACCAAAATTGATTAACTAGTGTTGTTCCATTACACACATGAAAAGATAAATGAGACATGAAACTTTGGTTTAAAGTAGCTTAAAACTCAGGAAAAAAAAAAAACCTTGATTACAATTCATTACAAATTTTATTATGAGGAGAAGGCATTTGCTAAAACCCAACCAAATTTTACAACAAGTAACCTGTAATCTGATTTTTTCTGACTTACTGTTATACTTAGTAATGTGCTCTAAGCTGACTATAGCATTCAGTAGTTGCTCCATGAATACAAACTATCATTATGCACAGGGACCAGGGACTTTTTCTTTTTTGTGTGTGAGACAAAGTCTCACTCTGTCGCCCAGGCTGGAGTGCAGTGGTACGACCTCGGCTCACTGAAACCTCCGCCTCCCAGGTTCAAGCAATTCTCCTGCCTCAGCCTCCTGAGTAGCTGGGACTATAGGCACCCGCCACCACACCTGGCTAATTTTTGTATTTTTTAGTAGGGTTTCACCATATTGGCCAGGCTGGTCTTGAACTCCTGACCTTGTGATCCGCCTGCCTCAGCCTTCCAAAGTGCTGTGATTACAGGAGTGAGCCACTGCGCCCGGCTGCACAGGGACTTTTATACAGGTTATCTTATTAAGAATCACAACTCAAAGGGAGGCACATCATTGTCTTCTCCATCTTATAGATGAGGAAACTGTATCACTGAGAGATTTAAAGAAATACTCAGGTAATTCAGCAAGTAGTTTGCATAATTAAGAAATGAATTTAAAACCAATTATTTTTTATTCCAAAGCTCTGTCCACTGTGCTTTGTTGTTCCTATGGCTGTCTTCTTTGGGGTGTCACTCTGAAGGCACAGGCTTGAACAGAGTTTCTCAATTGTCTGCTATAGAGTATTATTCTAGGAACGTGTTTTAGGAGAAAACAGTGAGTGCAGCCGATGGGAGAATGGGAGGTCTTTATTGTCAAATATGTTTGGTTAATGCTGCATTCTTTTCCTCCCATGGAAAATTCCCAAAATATATTAGTATGTTCAGTAATCCAAGATGCCTTGCAATACAAAAAGCAAATCAGCTCTGCTTGTTCACCTAGGACAGATGCCAAAAAATTGCAAAGAAACACAAAATAATATCATAGTTCTTGTACAGGGATAGCACATATAATTTGGAACACTTCATTTTTTGGTATACTTTATCTATTTCAAGATAAATTTTAAAATATATAAATATAATGAACTTTGTTTAACTGCAACAGTGTTTCTCATATTTATTTGATTGCATATCCTTTTTTTCCCCAAGACTAATTAACATATACTGAACATACTGGTTTGTCAAACAAGTTTTTGGGGAAAATGATGTGGAGATGTAGCTCCAGGCAGAAGACATATAGCTATGTAGAAACATTAACCACAGCATCCCAAAACATACACTCGTATATCTGCGTCTCATTGTTAGGCCCCATTTTGTTTTATTGCTAGTACTCTGTAAGAAGTAGTGTCTTAAAATTTATAAACTGGTAGATGAAAAATTATATTTTCACTATATAATTGATGCATAGTGAATATTTTGGACAAAATAATCATCGTGTAGATTTGAGAGGAAATTATTTTTATGGAAGGTGTCTTTTGTTAACTGGTCTATGAAATCATCATTGGAGTAATGATGTAGAATAGTAGAACAATAGTAAAATGAGTAGGGGAGCTTGTGCTTTGTATAGGACATTTGACCAGAGGATAAAAGGGGTGTTCAGATTGAGAATAAGGAAAAGAAACAAAGCCAGATCTAGGCTTAAATCTTAAAGGTCTGCAACCTGAGGAAAGTAAACATAATGTTAAAAGAGAGGAAAAAACGTCCAAGAAATAAAAAGTAGAAGAAAAATGTTGATGGTGATATTTTAATGATATACAAAATGATAAGAGAATATGGTTTTAATTCACAAGTTTATTTGTCTAAGCCTGTATTTTAAAAACTTTTTAAAAAACTCAATTTTTTTTCTGAATTTAGGGAAAATAAGTCTTTAGTGTTTGATATATCTGCTGTATTCCTTCGCCTTGCTTCGTTGCTTGGGCTCCTGAGTCATTACCTCATTAATCAACTTAGGCAAGCAATTTCTTTGGGAAAATCAGGATATCAAAATAGTTTCGGCTCTCAAACTCAATTAAAAATTAATGCATACAAATAATAACCTTGACTTGGCAGTTATCTTTTTCAGAAGAAGGGTCAGCTCAATACTGTAAAGTATGGCTTTCTTCATATCTCTGGAGTTGTCTTCTCAGCTGAGAATCTATAAAGTGAAGATTTGAAGGACATATATAGGGAATGTTCTGAGACACTACAGGATTTAGCAAATTATGATTTTTTTAAAGAACACTTCTTCTTTAGCAAGTAGCTCACGTATTTGCTGTAGGGTGTCATGCTGGGCATCAGAAGGAGGAAGATATGGGCAGCAGGGCTTGAAAATTTCTATTGCTTTGGTGCCCTGCAGCAGTGTTTTGAATGGGGCAGGTATTTTCAAAATAACACTTGCCTAAAATAATCCATAGCCTTTGTAGGAGTATCAGCAGCTTGAAAACTTCCTGACTTGAGTTTCATTACTGAAAGAAAAAAAAAAAACCTAAATGAAACTTCTGTTGGGAGAATATAGCCACAACAGGGGTCCTGATGTGGGTCTCCTTATAATAGAAATGAAGGTAGACTGCCTTTTAGATTGCACTAGTTTCCCAACATCTGTTTCTTATTCAGTTTCCCAGACCCAGGATTCTTTACCTTAATGCTAAATGTATATTAACTTTGTAAAGTAAGCATGAAAAGGAATATTCCCATGTGTATTTTATTTGGGAGCAAAAATGAACGTGGAAAATAAAGTAGAAACATTAAAACAACATCATTTTTATTAATTGTAAAAGAATCTCAATTATTATATTTGAACATAGATGCCTATATACATTCTGAAAGTTCTAGGTCCTAAATATCTTCTTTATTCTTGAATAATAAATAAGCACTTTGACTTACTAAGAATCATTCCCTACTCCATCATCTCAATTCATTAGGGACACATAGATAAGAATGCTTAGAGCAGTGCTTCTCTACGTGTGGTCCAAGCATTTCAGCAACAGAAGCAATCACCCAGCACACCTTGCTGCTTCTTATAAACAGATTTCAGAGTCTCTCCCAAGATTAATTTAATCAGAATCTGAATGAGGTGGTACTCTGGGAACTGTATTTTATAGAAGTTTTTCAGCTAATTTGATGTGATGTGTTGACTATATGTGCCTTAATATTGAAGGAGAAATAATTTTTTGTCCACAAATGTTGAGAGTTTTTTTAAAAATGAAAGATGTATGCACTAGTCTGTTAGGGCTACCATAACAAAATACAACAGACTGGGTAGATTAAAGCAACAGCAATTTATTTTCTCACAATTCTGGAGGATGGAAAATCCAAGATCAAGATTCCAGAAGGGTTTGGTTTGGGTTGCGGGTTTTCTTCGTGGTTTGCAGATGGTCACCTTCTGGCTGTATGCTGACATGACCTATTCTTTGTGTGATGAGAGAGAGAGACAGACAGAGAGAGGTGGGGTAGGGCGGGGAGAATACTCTCTGGTGTCTCTTCTTCTAAGGACACTAATCTTCCTGGATCAGGGACCCACCCTTATGACCTCTTTTAACTTTAATTACTTCCTTAGGTGCCCCATCTCCAAATACAGCCAGGGAGTTGTGGCTTCCTCATATAAATTTCGGAGGAAACACAAAAATTCTGTCCATAATGGTGTACAAAACATTTTGTTCGCTCTATAAAATTGTAAGACTATTAACAGTAAAATGCATCATTTCTGTCAGTAAAGATAAGAAAACATGAAAGCATCTTTGCTTTTTAAAATCCTTCTTTTGTAGGAGGAGAGAGACTTCATAAATAGTGCTGTTAAACTTTTGCACCTTGAAAGCAAACTTGAATTCAGAACCTTTCTAATTTTTATCTTGTGGTTTCTCTAAGGGGGAAAAAAAAACAACAACAGCTGAATAGTTCCAAATTTTAACCAAAACATAGAATGTATATCAGCACCCAAGCTTGGTTTCTAGATCTGGGTTCAAAGACAGTCACGGAGGGTAGCGATGGATGGTAATGTCTTGTAAAGAACAATTGAAGTTTGAGAAGCTGGACAAAAAAAGCAAGATAAATGTAGGAAACCCAGAAATTGGAGTTTCAGGAAAAGGAGTAAGAGTTCATTAGCTGATTGTGTGGATGAAAATTGGAGAAATGCAGAGTTGGAGACTGTACAGATGCATGTTTGAAGTCTGCTATAGATGGCTGAAGATGCTTAACCTGTCTGATATTTAAGTCCCATTGCAAAACAGAATGGTATACTGTATTAGACTGTTTTCATGCTGATGATAAAGACATACCCGAGACTGGACAATTTACAAAAGAGAGATGTTTAATGGACTTACAGTTCCACATGGCTGTGGAGGCCTCACAATAATGGTGGAAGGCAAGGAGGAGCAAGTTACATCTTATGTGGATGGCGACAGGCAAAGAGAGAGCTTGTGCAGGGAAACTCCTGATTTTAAAACCATCAGATCTTGTGCAACTTATTGGCCATCATGAGAACAATGCAGGAAAGACCTGCCCCATAATTTAATTACCTCTCACCAGGTTCCTTTCATGATGTGTGGGAATTGTGGGAGTTACAATTCAAGATGAGACTTGGATTGGGGGGACACAGCCAAACCATATCATATATTATCATTTTATTGATGGCTAACAAATTATCACAGCTTAGTAGCTTACAACATTCATTAATCATCCTGTAGTTTCTAGAAGTTGGGACTCTATAACTGCAGTTTCTAAGAGTTGGGAGTCTACAACAAGTCCTCTGCATGGGGTCATGCAAGGCAGCAATCAAGTGTTGGCTGGACTGCACTTTCAATGCAGAGGCATGACAGAACACATGCACTTCCAAGCTCACCAAAGGAGTTGGCAGAATTAATATCCTTAAAGTTGTATGACTGAGGGTCTTGGTTATTTGCTGGTTGTTGACTGTTGACTGTCCTCAGGTCTTGCAGTTCCTCAAGGTCACCCATAAGTTCTTGCCACATGGACTTCCTAAACATTGCTGCCTTCCTCAAAAAGTCAGCTAAGAGAGGCTCTAGTTCCACTCTGCAAAGACTAAATTTTGTGTAACATAATATCATCACATGAGTGACATTTGATGTAGCCTAATCAAGGTAGTAATAACCCATCACTTCTGATGTATTTTATTAGTTAGAATCAAGTCAAAGATTTCATTTGCAGTCAGGTAGAGGGGCTTATGCAAAGCCATGATTCACTGAAGGTCACCTTTGGGTGTGCCTGCCACAGAGAGTAATACCTAGCCACACTTTTCAGATTGAATGAGATAATAAAAAGTTTCAGGTGCATGCCATGTACTGCTTATATTGCATCTCTTACTGTGTGCCGCTGACATGTCAGAAAAACGCTCCTCTGAGGCAGTAACTGATCTTTTCACCTTGCTTCATTTTAGAAATTTGATTCAGAGCAACCAAAGAGTATACTGTGCTATTCTAACAGAGGTCAAACTTGTTTCTTATGACCAGTTTAAGATTTTAGTCTAAACTGGCTCAGAAAAAAAACCATATGAAGTGGGAAAAATGACAAACTTCTCATTTGCTCCTGTCTGCCTTCCTTGACACGCAAGGTTGATATTATATCTCTCTATCTCGCTCCAGCATTCAGGGGCCTCCTGTTATCCTCCAGATGCTTGAGAACCCTCTTTCTTCATATCAACTCCTCTTAGAAAGAGCCTCATACTATAAATCCAACTAACAGCAAACTTTGTTTCATCATTGCACCCATTCTTTAACCCTCTTAGGGGAGTAATAAATGTTTTATTCATTTTTACAGCTTTGAAGGCACTTTTAAATACATTCTCTTGATCCTGATTTTACACATGAAAGATATTTGATTAGTGGTTCTTTAAGAGAGTTCTGTGCATTGCTCTAAAATTGCTTAAGATTTTCAGAACTTAAAGTATAATAGAAAAAGTCAAAAAAAGATTTTCAGAGGATAAGTATAAAAATACAAATACATTTTTAAAAGTGTGATGTGTATTTTCTAGAAAAATAGGATAAATATATTTTAATCTGTAGTTTAAGTTAAATTACAAGTGCCTGTGAGAGTAAATGTCCCATGACTAGTTAAGCAGTGTTGGTAAGTAAGAAGAAAGAACACATCTTTTGCTCTGTTGAAGTGCTTCTTGTATTGGAAAGCTAAAGAAAAACTGAGTTAGAATTAAGTTTCCAATACCCTTTAAATTAAAACTATCCAGGAAATAGATGTTTAATTGGGCATATAGTGCTGTATTTCAGCACTATAAGGACATGAAACACAAGTAGGTGGATTAAGCAGCTTTGTCATGTTCAGACACCCACTAGTAGCCCTCAGTCACCTCCAGAAGATATCCTATCAGGCATGAAGACTCTCATCAGGCTGTGTTTCTGTGCATGACAGATGAGCAGTCTTCAAGACCGGAGGGGAAACAGCTTAATTGAATTCTTTTTCATTGCTTGAATCCGCCTCACTGAACTGAATCGATTAACTGTAAAAATGGAAGTATCAGTTTGATGAAGATTAAGGCATTTTTCCACATTTAGCATACATGGATTAAAGGGATGAAATAGGATGAAGTATGTAGTGTGCATGGTTGCATAGTGGATGGTACTTTGTAGACACCTAAGAGTCACCCTTCTTACTCTCTAGCCCATTCCTGTGTCTGTGATCAGCTCTTAATGTGAATAAAGCTTGATGATTCAGTTAAAACAGAAAATATGTAATACGTAACCTTCAAAACAAGACCAAGACCAGCTACCTAATTTTCAGGGCACAGTGCAAAATGAATATGCAGAGGCCCCTTTCCAAAATGTGTTAAAATTTTCAAGATGGCAACAGCAGAGCACTAAAACAATTGCAGGACCCTTCTGGGCACGGGGTCCTGTGTGACTACACAAGTTGCACACCATAAAGCCGGCCCTACACAGATCATCCCTCTTCCCCCCTTGAAATCCCCCAAACATCAGTAGAGTTGTCCATAGGGTAAAATAAATCTGAGTGACTGAATGACTTGCAGCTTCAGTGCACTTTACAAGGAAGATGGGATCCAAGAAAGCTTGGAACTTGAGACATTGATATTGCCTGTGAGCGAGCTCGTACCCAAGACACCCGAGGCGCATATGTTGGCTTTGGCTGTCTGTATAGCACACTGTTCTGTGCTTTCTTCTTTCTTTTGCAATTTGATACTTGTTTAAGTCCTAATACTCGTGGATTAAAATGCTAGCAGGCAAAATACATTTTTTCCCCTTTTCTTATACTGTATCCCATGTGTGGTCCTGCACTTTCAAAGAAAATATTAATTTTTCTCTTGTTTTTGGAAAAGGTTACATAATCATGTCATTATGAAAATGTTGTAAAGTACAGTCATGGAAACCCCAGCTTTGGAGTTAGCCCATATAGCTTTTATGACAGGTTCTGCCACCTCCCAGTTGTTTGCTCATTGGAAAATCATCTGTCCCTGTTTCCTGAAGTAACCAACAATAAAAATACCTACTTTATAAGATTGTTTTGTGCACTAAATAAGATAAGGTTTATAAAGAAAAGTGCCTGGCATATTGTAAATACTCAAAAACTATGACCTATTTATATCACTATTATTTATAATTTCTAATCATCCTTTTTCAGAAATTATCCATTAGTTTTATCTTGACATAAACAGCATAAAATTGAGAAGCATAAAACTAGAGAAAACTTCAAAGATTTTCTTTTTTAATAGCTCTTAGATTTGTTGGGATTATAGATCCCTTTAAATTCTGATAAAAGGCAGTGGACCATCTTTCCCCCAAAAGTTAGACGTGCATTTACCATTCTATTTCAGGGGCTTCTTTTACCACCTGAAGCTCATCATTGAGACCTATGAAGACAGGTTAAAAAGAATGTATGTAACCTGATATTATGACTTCCTATGCAAATAACAGTGGTGGGACTGGCCTCTACATGCTCAGTTCTCATTATTGAAAGCAGTCCCCTTTCATGGCCTGTTCTGTGCCCTTAATATGCATCCTTTTTTTTCCTTTGCCACGGAAATTCTAAGCATAGCCTGAAAATTAATGACAACGTCAGATAATGATGCAATATTTTATTTCAAAGAAAATTACTGCACCAACTTTTCTTTTAAATACCTCTATTCTTCTGAGAGACCCCTCGGTGCTATGAAGCTTTTTTGTTTCAAGTGAAATGCCACTGCTCACAATACTAATGATTTTATACTTGGGAAATGAAATGGAATAGTAGCTCACGTATTGGAAAATAACAGAGGTATGTGGGCTTTATAATATGACCTGGGGATTGTCCCACTGATCCCTACTTTGTTTTTCATTTTTAAGAGTTAAATAATTCTATTTATCCTGATTTATTTATTGCTTCTTTTCTTTTTTTCTTCTCTCACATTGGGCTTTGTGCCAAGTCTGGAAAACATTTTTGTAAAGCAACCTGTGTGGCTAGTTTCTACCTTGACCACCAATGTTTACATTTCACTGTCCAACATTTATTGCAGATTCTCCCCTGGTTCTTGGACACTTTTACTCTCTCTTACGATCCCCCAAATTTACCATACAACAAACATCTGGCAGCAGCAAATGCACTGATACTCTTCATAAAAAGACCATGAAAGTAAAGCCAAAAGAGAACAGAAAGACAGAGTTTCATCATAGCCTGGTTTTCATTCTGCTCTCTGTCTGGTTTCCATTTGACCTATATAGATTCTTTCTCGTTTTTAAGCATGCATCCTAGGGTTTATTTTCATGGCTGAGAGATGCATCGAGCGAGTATATAAAGAGTAGCTTCTAAAGAGTAACCACAAAGAGGGCTGTCAAGTTTCTCTTTTTGGATATTTTGGCTCCAAGTCATTTTTATACTTCTCCTAGCCCCGGATCAAGTTGATATTGAAATGTAGGATGTCTTGATTGTTTCCACATTTCTTGCAATGATACTGCAAAGCAAATCCGGTGGGAATAGAAACATCATCTGTCATGTTTAGCCTGGATGAAGTTATATGACATTTAAAGTGCAGGAGTGGGGAAAGTAGCTGCCAACCTGGAAGTTTTTAATCCCCCTTCCTGAACACTTACAGAGATGCCAAGCTAATCCCACAGCGCTGATGCCCTGTCAACTACTGACATGCCATCTGCTCTTGTTCATAGTGGATGTGATCAGATGTGAACCTCAAAGACCTTTTTGAAGCTAAGCTTTATGTGAGTCCTGAATCATTAACTTTCACACAGAGTCATCACATTTTGCCTTCTGCCCACACAGGTTTTATTTAGTAGGGAAGTAATTGATATGTGGTAGGTATGAAACACATACTAAGAGAAAGAAACTTCAAGTTAAGTACACATTTCTTCAGGGCCATAAGACTTTGACAGAGTTGCCCAGCTTTTCATTACTTAGCATGCTTTTAAAATTTGTTTTTATTTATTTATTTTAAACTTTTACTTTAAGTTCAGGGACACATGTGTAGGATGGTTTGTTACACAGGTAAACGTGTGTCATGGGGATTTGTAGTACCAATTATTTCATCACCTAGTTATTAAGCCTAGTATCCATTAGTTATTCTTCTTGATTCTCTACCTCCTTCAACTCTCCACCTTCTGATAGGCTCTAGAGTGTTGTTCCCCTCTATGTGTCTATGTGTTCTCATCACTTAGCTCCCACTTGAGCTAAGTGAGAACATGTGGTATTTGGTTTTCTGTTCCTGTTTCAGTTTGCTAAGGATAAATTCCTCCAGTTCTATCCATGTCCTTGCAAAGGACATAACCTCATTCCTTTTTATGGCTGCATAGTGTTCCATGGTGTATATGTACCACATTTTCTTTATCCAGTCTATCACTGATGGGCATTTGGGTTGATTCCATGTCTTTGCTATTGTGAACGGTGCTGCAGTGAACATATGTGCACCTGTGTCTTTATAATGGAACAATTTATATTCCTTTAGGTATATACCCAGTAATGAGATTGCTAGGTCAAATGGCATTGCTGACTTTAGGTCTCTGAGGAATCACCACACTGTCTTCCACAATGGTTGAACTAATTTACACTCCCACTGACAGTATATAAGCGTTCCTGTTTCTCCACAATCTAACCAGCACTTGTTATTTTTTTACTTTTTAATACTAGCCATTCTGACTGGTGTGAGATGGTATCTCATAGTGGTTTTGGTTTGCATTTCTCTAACGATCAGTGATGTTAAGGGTTTTTTTATATACTTTTTGACCACATCCATTTCTTCTTTTGAGATGTGTCTGTTCATGTCCTTTGCTAATGGATAGGAAGAATCAATATCATTAAAATGGCCATATTGTCCACAGCAATTTACAGATTCAATGTTATTCCCGTTAAACCACCACTGACATTCTTCACAGAATTAGACAAAACAATTTTAAAACTCATATGGAATCAACAAAAGAGCCTGAATAGCCAAGGCAATCCTAAGCAAATGAACAAAGCTGGAGGCATCATGTTACTCAACTTCAAACTATACTACAGGGCTACAATAACAAAAACAGCATGGTAATGTTACAAGAGCAGACACATAAACCAATGTTACAAGAGCAGACACATAGACCAAGAGCAGACACATTGACCAACAGAATAGAAAACTCAGAAATAAGACCATACACCTGCAACTATCTGATCTTCAACAGACTTGGCACAAGCAATGGGGAAAGGATTCCCTATTCAATAAACGGTGATGAAATAACTTGCTAGCCATATGCAGAAAATTGAAACTGGACCCCTTCCTTACACCATATACAAAAATTAACTCAAGACGGATTAAAGACTTAAGCCTAAAACCGAAAACTATAAAAACCCTGGAAGAGAACCTAGGCAATACCATTCAGGACATAAGCACAGGCAAAGATTTCATGGTGAAGACACAAAAAGCAATTGCAACAAATGCAAAAATTGAGAAATGGGATCTCATTAAACTAAAGAGCTTCTGCACAGCAAAAGAAACTATCAACAGAGTAAACAGACAACCTACAGAATGGGAGAAAATTTTTGAAAACTATGCATCTGACAAGGGTCTAATATCCAGCATCTATAAGGAACTTAAACAAATTTATAAGAAAAAACAAACAACCACATTAAAAGGTAGGTCAAATTTGTTTTTTTTTAAAGTTGTGTGTAAGTTTACACAAATGTTTACTTTCCTCTCCTCCTAGTTAAAAAAATAAAGGAGAAGCACTTCTCATGTGAAATGTCTTAAAGTGGGAAGAGACATTAATAAAGTCTTGACAGAGGTTACCTCAAGAGAAAGCAGAATGGGATAGTATCTGTATTTTAGGAGTTAATGGAATCTAAAGTGGGACTCATTGTACTAAATTAAATCCCAACAGTTTGTCATTTTGCCATTACAGATTCACTCCTTTGGTATGAATGATATTAAGACTTCAAAAGTGCAGCTATTAAATTTCAAGTTATCTTAGAAAATATTAGGCAATATCTGACCAGTTGAAAGCCAATTAAGCATTCAATCTGTAAAAACAGGGCATGAGATAGGAAGATGAGGGCTGGTGGAGAAAGCTGTTCTGAAAGTTCAGAAAGACAAAAATCAGCTTTGTGATTTGTTAAAATTACCCGCCCCCCCACCCCCAATTCTTAACTGTGGTACTTCAGTCAGGGAGGGTGACGAGCTGCACAGAACTGACCAACAGAAATATCTGAATGATGCTACTATTATTGGGTTCTAAATAAGTTAAATAAATTAATAAAGTGTTCTGAGAGCTATCTACAGTGTATACAGCACTTTCACAATAAGAATTGTATTTAATCTTTATTATAAGCCTGTATAACATGTGTTACTTTCATTAACATCTACAGAGAAATCATGATATTGTACACAACTCAGGTATATATGAGAACATACGACTTTTAAGAAAGAATATACTTAGGTTCAGGGTCTGAGTTACAAACAGATAGAAGGCTTATCTAAGGTTGCATTAGAGATGTTCATGTGAAATATGCATTTTTGTCTTGATAGGTTATATTGCCTAAAATGTATGAATCGTTTATGACAACTTTGTCACTTTGTGAGTATGAGGGTTTTTCTAAAATTTCTAAAATTTAATGTGATCTGTCAGAGTGGCTTTTCTATTTAATAATTAAGTCAATAAAAAGATGAAAGTATGATATTTTTATTGTTAAAACAGGGAAATAACATGTATGAAATTTCTCTTTGGCAGTGTATACTTCGTGGTTCTGTCATATTGTTGTTTCCAATGGTATATTCCTGAACAGACAAATAATCTTAATCTTACCTAATTCTTCAGATTATGGGGTAGATCTACTTTTGTATTTTTTGGTTGGAATATTGAGGACAGAATGATATATTCATCATTCCAACCAATGATTGTTGAATGAAAACATTATTATGTGATCTGGTATACAGTATTTTTATTGTCATTATTTTTTAATTTTCAATTTTTATAAAATTTTTGTGGGTAAATAGTTAGTGTATATTTATGGGGTACCTGAGGTGTATTGATACAGGCATGCATGTGAAATAAGCACATCATGGAGAAATGGTTATCCATTCCCTCAAGTATTTATCCTTTGAGTTACAAATAATCTAATTACACTCTTTAAGTTATTTAAATGTACAGTTACTATAGATTATAGTCATCCTATTGTGCTATCAAATAGTAGGTCTTATTCATTATTATTATTTTTAAAAATATGGAACTTACTGCAAAGATAGAAAAGCTATACATATTTAGTTTTATGTTTAATGAAGCTCATTTTTACAGAGAGATAAAATTACACTGGGATTGTTCAAGAATATTTAGGATAAATGACTGCTGGATTTTTTTATTGCTGTTGATTGCAGTAAAGTTTATGAATTATGACAGAATGAGAAAAGGTAATATAGAAAAAATAATGAGAACAATATAATATTACTTTTTCCACTGTATTGTTTTCTTAGAAAATAAAAACATTTTAAAATGTAATCTTATAGCACAGAATCTAAACTTGTATAACATTCAAGAAAATGTAGTTATCCCTTTCCCATTTGCATGGTTATACAGTAATTCTCCTAGTTTTGCTAATGTTATTTATCCAATGATGCTGTTTTAATAAGCATTCATTCCTCATAGGATTTGGGGTATTACAAACCAAAGTCTCTTGAATGGCCAGAACACACAATTCTTCTCAAAAGTTTATTCTAAAATTCTACTTTAAAGACTAACCTGTCACTTCTCCATGGCCTTTCAAAGACATTTAAAGAACTCTAATATTTGTGAACAAGTGGTAAAATAGGCTGTGGACAGGGACAAAAATAACCAATTAGTTGACCTTAAATTTTCATGAACTGATGCTAAATAGGCTCACCTGTTCTTTTGAATAATTGAAGACTTAAGAGAATGTGAGAGTAAAAATTTTGAATAAATCCTTTATTTTAAAAGTGGCTGTCAACAGGAAAAGTATGCCCCTGTTTTTCATCAAAAAGCATTCACTTTAGTTCTTAGAGGATTATTATAAGATTACTGGTGTCAGACACTGCACTGGGAATTCCAGGATGGACTGTTTTTGGAAAACATCTCTGGTAAAATGCTATGGTCTAATAATAAGCTGGTTGGAGATCATGACTACTAGACTGTTTTGTTTTTTGTTTTTGTTTTTGTTTTTAATACAGAATGGTGTAATATGGTATATTGGTTTGGGAAGACAGGGGATGTGTTAGGTCATTCTTGTGTCGCTATAAAGAAATACCTGAGGCTGGGTAATTTATAAAGAAAAGAGGTTTAATTGGTTCACGGTTTTGCAGGCTGTACTAGCTTCTGGGGAGGCTTCAGGGAGCTTTTACTCATGACAGAAGGTGAAACAGGAGCAGGCATGTCACATGGCAAGGGCATGAGCAAGTGGCAGGGAGTAGTGCCACACACTTATAAACAACCACATCTCCCATGAACTCATTCATCACTAAGTGTTGGTGCTAAGCCATTCATGAGGGCTCTGCTCCCATGATCCAATACCTCCCACCAGGCCCTGCCTCCAACACTGGAGATTACATTTCAATGGGAGATTTGGAGGGGACATCCACACTATATCGGCAGATTTAAAAGTCCATGGCACTTAAAATTTAGAAGTCTGCAGCTGGAGTCTATGCTTTGTATCTCACTAATATAACTTAGAACAATTCACTAAATCTCTCTCAGCTTCATTTTCACCTTTTCTAAAATTTATACCTGTGCTACTTAGGGCAGTTCAAGTATGAGGTATGCCAGAATCCAGGCACCTTAGGACTGAGAATGTGTTTCAGCTATTTATCACTACATAGAAAACCATGACAACCTTTGTCTTACAACACAAATTTATTTCTCTTGATTGTGTAGGTTGACCAAGTGAGCTTTCTACTTGTCTAACCTGGATCATTCATGTAGCATTTAGCTACAAAGTTCTTAAAACCTAATGTTGAACATCCTACAGTGTTCCTTCTGTCACATTTTGTTGGGCAAAGCAAGTCAGAAGGCCAGCCCTTATTCAAGGGAAGAAAAAAAATCAGTCCAACAACTTGATGAAAAGGGTGGCAATGTCTCTGCAGAAGGTATGCAAGATGGAAGATATTATGATGACCATATTGGAAAATAATTTACCAAAGAGAAAGAGTGCAAAATTTGGGGCTTGGGCATACGATGGTGCTGAGGTATAGACACTAGTAATAGTACCCTATCCTGTGATGGAAGCCAGTGGTTCAAGTTGCAAAATTCAAAGTCTATCTTCAAACATGGTTTAATGAGACTTTTTGAATAAGAGCGTGGACTCTAGAAGCAAAACAACTGCAGATAAAATCTAGCTTGCTGTTTCCTGACTAATTAACTAATTGATCAAGTTATTCTATGCTTCAATTGCCTCATAAGTAAAATTAAGAAAAGAACATGTTTTATCTCATAAAATTATTATTTTGAAAATTAAACAATTGCTATAAGTCAACAGCTTAGAACTGTGCCTGAAAAATAGCAAACACTTCAAAAAATTTTACTGTTCTTCTTATTACTATTACCATATATCCAGATGTATTTTGTAGGCAGGGCTGGGATGAAGTTAGCAAGGAATTTTAGTCATAGCTGCAATTGGGAATTTAGGGAGGATCCGAGTTTAAAGACACCAATCTATATTCTGCAAGGATCTAGGTGGGAAACTCATCAAGGAAACACAGAGTAAAAAAGAGCCACCTCCTGAAGGGAGATCTGACAGGAGGTAGCCGATGTGTCAGTGTCTGGAGTGTAAGGCAGGACTCCAATTGTGGGGCCATGAAGAACAGAGCCAAGTAATAGGCAGAAGTCACAGGGGAGAATCCTAACACAAACAGACATTTAAAAAAGGGTCTGATTCTTGGCTACAGTCTTATGGGGACAAAGTTGTCTTGTGTTTTCCTCAGTCTAAAAACTCTTTGTGCAAATGCATCTTGGGACACCAGCAAACCCAGATATCTTGACTGAATCACTGAATGTAAGAAACTGGACTAAATTCCCTGTAGAAAAATATTTATGCCTCCTACCACTGCTGACTGGCTTAGGAACTGAATTCAGTCTTGGTCTGCAACTGGGGACCACGCATTCAGTCCTGGAAGTCAGGAGAAGAAGACAAATGCTGGGGCTGTAACACAGGCTAACTGCCCACCTCAGTTGAGGGCTATGATGATCAAATTAAACAATGTATATGAGAAAGCTTTATGAATTACTGCCACCAAGTATGCCTCCTAAGGCAAATAATTTTTCTCTTTAAAATAAACATACTTGCCAAATTTTCAAACTAAACATTCAAGGATAGAATTCATCATGTCATGAGTAAAAGCCTAGGTTAGTGTCAGGAAGTCTAAGTCAGGCAGGACAGCTTAAGCTGCAACAGTATTTAAGAACAGAATTCAGGACTTAAGCTATCAAGGAAGAGGCAGAGAATATATTGGAACTAGACGATCAGAATCCTTGAATGTGTGGGCGGATACCTCACTCATGTGTGCCTTGGAAATATGACAGCAAATCCCATGATGAGGCTTATAATCCTTCTTTCCTAGTGTTAAATAGTTTTTCTGATGTGGATGGATGAAGGCTCACAGGTGTGTGCTGAGCGCCAGAATAAATTTTGCAGGTGCTGGTGATTGCAGTAAAGGTCTAAGTCCCTTTAGAGAGTCCTCACCATTTGAACAAATGAAATGATTTTGAATGCTTCTGCTTGCTACAGGGAAATTTATAAAAAGATGGTATGATTTCAGGCTCCTTTGGACAGCTTTTAAAAAGAGACCTGGGCCAAGAAAATTATTCCCCCGAAGCCTGATAAATTTGTATAATGGAAGCAAATGTATTCCACAATATAAGTAACATTAATTCTATTTTAAATTTATGGCATGGGACAGCTGAGGCTTTTAATCACTCTGTCTATGCTTTAACATTGGGAATATTTTTGTAGCCATTATTTGGCAAAGTTGTCATCGTTGTACTTTTACGATAGGATGGTTTTTAAAATGACCTTATGTTTATCTTATCTATTGTTTTTTATTGTATGAAGAATTAGTCAGGAATGGGGTGCCAAATTACTATCTTATTTTGTAATAAAATATGAGCTTATTTAAGAAAGTAAATTTTATGTAATGGTGAGACCACCAAACAATTGATATTGTGTTCTGAAGACTAATTTTTGTCTTTATTTGCTGATCTCTGCTTCTCTTTACTTAAAGTACCAAGAGGATGTTTCTTTGGACTTAATCACTTCTAGCTAAAGTCAAGTGATATTGTAGATATGAATTGAGGTAAAAAGTTACTAATTACATGATTATTTTTCCAAAAATTTCCACTAATTCAGATAGGCTCAGTTTTAGTTTTGAAATTAGGCCATATTTTCAAACATCTCTTTATAATTTCAGCATGAAGTTATTTCCAAAGTAATTTTGTTTTCACAGTTTTCCAAGCTCATGTCATAGCTCCAGGAGAGTTAGTGGTTTAACTTCTGATTCAGATACAAGTTAGAAAGTGAAATGGAAAAACCACAGACTGGTGGACAAGCAGCAGAAGTTAACAATTAATGAGGTGCCAAGAAGTGAAAAGGGTGAGAGTTCAGTGGGATTCTGAAAGGAGTCACTGAACTTTAACAAGATGATGAAAAGGCATCTTGGCAGGAAGGTTCATGGACCATTCTTTAAGGTTATATGACAGAGTAAGACTGTGAAATCTTCATTTTTCTAGAAAAATTCATTATACATTTCCACTGAGTTAAAATTATAGTCTTTCCATCAATTATATCCCCATTATTATATTCTTCCCAACGTTATTGGCCCATTTGCTAATGTTAAATGTGCGAATAAGCTTAAATTATGAGAAATATTATTTTTCACAATTATGGGCTTCCTGTGGAAAATCACAAACCACTTAATTTCTAAATTTCAACTCAGAACAGCCTTAAAATTGTATCTCTTGTAAACCACATTGCAATCAACAACAACAATAAATAAATGTAAAAAGGTAAAGCCTTCTACTTTGCTTCTTTGGAAGCAACTAACTGAAGTGGTTTATCAACTTTTATAAAGCAAAACAAAACAAAATCCCTGTCTGCCCTTATTCTATACAATCAAAATAAAATGTAGTCTCTGCTTTATGTTTCTATACATCAGAAAAATCTCATGTTGAGATGAAAGTTTTCTCTTTTCAGTCCTTATTTGTCTTATTGGGCAAACACTTTGTCTTCACTATGTCTTAAGCATTATTCTCAGTGCTGTGTTAATCTAACTCATTAAATTCTAATATCACTATAAAATAGATACCTTATTACTTCCATTTTACAGATTAAGAGACTGAGGTGGCCGGGCACGGTGGCTCACGCCTGTAATCCCAGCACTTTTGTAGGCCGAGGCGGGCGGATCACCAGGTCAGGAGATGGAGACCATCCTGGCCAACATGGTGAAACCCCGTCTCTACTAAAATACAAAAAATTAGCCTAGCCAGACATGGTGGTGCGATCCTGTAGTCCCAGCTACTCAGGAGGCTGAGGCAGAGGAATCACTTGAACCTGGGAGGTGGAGGTTGCAGTGAGCCAGGATCGCGCCACTGCACTCCACCCTGGTGACAGAGCCAGAGCAAGACTCTGTCTCAAAAAAAAAAAAAAAAAAAGAAAAGAAAAAGAAAGAAAGACAGAGAGAGAAAGAAAGAAAGAGAGAAAGAAAGAAAAAAGAAAGAAAGAAAGAAAAAAGAAAGAAGAAAGGAAGGAAGAAAGAAAAAGAAAGAAAAAGAAAGAAAGAAAGGCAGGTAGGCAGGCAGGCAGGCATAGAAATGTTAAGTAATTGCTTCATAGCTCAGCAAGAATAGGAATTCTGAAAGTTTTGATTCAGAGCCTATGCTGTTAGCCAGTGATATTTTAAGCAGATGCTCATAAAGATCATGCCCTACTAGAGAATATTACCAGAGGATGTTATTAATTATGTAGGGCTCCCATATACTACAGGGAATCCCAACCACTCTCTGCCTTTTCTCACTTCTACCTCTATTTCCTATGGTCACTCTAAATTCAGAATTCTAAATTTGAACTTATCTTCCACCCAGATGTGTTCCTTCTATATAACTTGTGTTGGATGATGACTCACAAACCATCTAATATGTTATGTTAAAACCTAGGAGTCATTCCAGAAGTCCAGTGCTCAATATCTATCTCTAAATAGTCATCAAACAATACGCTTCCTAAGTAGTCTCAAAACTGCCTCTTGCTCTCCACCTGTTGCCACTTTTATTATCACTTTTCTAGATTTCATCACCTTATGATGAGGTTATTAAATTGCTAGCTAAACAGTATTGTTTTTAAATTTCCTATATTCTAGCCAACCCCCATTCTACTGCTAAAGTGATCTTTAAACAATATTTATATGATCGTGATTATCTTACACTTAAGGAAATTCATTTTTTCCCAATTTCTTACATTTATAAATCTAAACTCCTAGGTATAAAATGAATCCCTTTTTGGTCTGACCCCTTTCATATCCCTTGCTACTCCCCTATTCATACTTGATAACATGTCAAATACCAAGCATTATGCTGTTTTTAGCCTTCTGTCTTTGCATATGCTAGTTCCTTTGCTGGAAATGCCCTCCTCACCACTTATCCTCCTGACAAACTTAAATTAATGTCCAATAATCATCCATCTGGAAGTGTTCAACAAGCCTGCTGTAGCCCAGAAAAATTAGGTATGCATTGACACCACATCTGTACCTTGTACAGACTTCTGCTGTTGCAGTTACCACTCTTTATTGTAATTATTTGTTTATATTCTGTGCTAGACTCTGAGCTCCTTAAGGGAACAACAATTAACAGGAGGTTAATAAATGTTAGTGTAATACATTAGTTATGACTTTCCATTCTAGCTCAATGCACTGTGAAAAATTCCATGCAGTCAGAAGATAAAGAAATTTCAGAAACCGTTCATTCTAACACTCAGTGATGGCTAAAGAGGAAAGATGGTAAGATACAAAGAAACAAACCGTAAGAGAAGATACAGATTTTCATTTAAGGTGGAAGAAAACCAGTTTTTATTTGAATTATATCCATTTTCTCTTCTAAATTGGCAAGATCTTTCTTTTAATATATCAACTTCTAGTTCACTACGGTTCCACCTGGTTTCTATCATCTCAGAAATTCCAGTACTGGCATTAATTGCCTTTCAAGTTTTATGTGACCTCCCCTGCATGGTGCTGTTTAACACCCTGAAAAATTCCCATTATTTGGCAGATAGAACTAATTTTGTACAGGCATCATTCGAAAGAGTAATAGTAAAGAAATGCAGGTCATCTAGGAGAAGCTTTTACATTTTCATTAAAGACCATGTATTTTATGGTTAGATCGCTGTCATGTTTTCATAATCAAATCTTGATAGTTAAGATCAGCACATAAATGGTTTTTACTTTTTTGTGTACAATAAATTATTTCAAAAATATAGGCAATTTGCAGATGAACCCACAGTTTATTGCACAGATGTTTAACTATATTTCAAAGATTTCAATATAGGATTTGACATAATATTTTAGTTATTATATTGTACTTCATAGTGCATTAAAGACTTCAGGCATACCATATCTAAACTATGGGTTGCTCTTGCTTTAAATTTCAGAAAACTTGACTCCATTAATGTTCAATTTAAGCAGTGAGGCTCTCTTGTGATCCCTATTTGATGCAGTTTGGCTGTGTTCCCACCCAAATCTCACCTTTAATTGTAATAATCCCTATGTGTCAAGGGTGGGGCCAGGTGGAGATAATTGATTCATGGAGGACAGTTTCCCCAAAACTCTTCTCCTGGTAGTGAATAAGTCTTACCAGACCTGATGGTTTTATAAATGGGAGTTCCCCTGCACAAGCTTTCTTGTCTGCCACCATGTAAGACGTCCCTTTGGTCTTCCTTCATCTTCCTCCATGTTGTGAGGCCTCCCCAGCCATGTGGAACTGTGAGTCAATTAAACCTTTTTCCTCTATAAACGATCCAGTCTCAGGTATGTCTTTATTAGCAGCGTAAGAGCAGAGTAATACACTATTAATGGATGTTTCAAGGTAATTTTAGAAAAGAAACTTGGGAAAAAAGTCCCCATATTTGTGAAATTATTTCGTCATAATTCTGTCCTAAATTAGTTTCTGTGGTTCTAAAATATTAACATTTTTCTGATTGCTTATATACATTTACAGACCATTTGCTTTTTTGTTGTTTTTGTTCCATTTATCTACTACTGCTTAACAAATCAGGCTAATATTTAGTATCTTAAATCCATAATTGTTTACTTTTCCCATAAATATGTAATGTATCAGGGGAGAGCAGGACAAATTGTCTCTGACCCACAATTTCTGAAATAAGTGAAACACCTATAGTTAGAAACAAATAGGGCTGGACAGCCAGCTCTCTTCCCTTATATTCCTGGAATTTTTCCAGGTTGTGTCTTTATGTGTTTCCTCTACCATGGTGGCTTCAGGGTAGTCAAATTTCTTACATTGCAGCTCAGGGCTCTAAGAATGTTTCCAGAAAGCAAGGGTTTTTACAACCTAATTTCAGAAATCTTGCAACAAAACAATGTACCATCTGCTATGATATATTGGTTCACACATGGTAAGCCCCAAATCAAGGAAGGAGTGGTCTAAACACATGTATGAATATTAAGGAAGATAGATCACCTGGGAAAAATCTTAGGGCCAGGGTATCACATTTTTATTGCCCCTTTTCTCCTTTCTTTCTTCTTCCTCTTTCTCGTCCTCATTCCCCTACTTTTCTTTTGCATCCTCATCTCTTTTTCACTTTGGGTATGATTTACATATGGTACAATTTTGAAAAATGTCTACAGTGATGTAATCACTAGTATAATAAAAATATTGAATAGTTCCATCACAAAAAAACTTTTGTATGTGTCTCTTTATAGTCAATCAAATTACCCCAATCTAAGCATATGACATCCAAGAGTGTTTTCTGTTTCTATACTTGTGCCTTCTCCAGAATGCCATAGAAAAGAAATGATCCTGTATCTAGCCTTTGTGGCTGGTTTATTTTATTTCATACAATGCTTTTGAGATTCATCCATTTGTTGTATTTTTTACTAGTGTGTTCTTTTATTGTTAAGTAGTATTCCACTACATAGACATACCACATTAAAAATTATCTACTACTTGAAGAATATCTGGATATTTTCTAGATGTTGGTGATCACGAAGAAGTTGCTGAAGTGAGTTGTTTGTCAAACAAATACCTAAAAATGTGGAGTGGCTTTAGATCTGGGTGGTGAATAGAGCCTGGAAGAATTTTGAGTAAAGCTCATTTCGAATTGTAATCCCCACGGGTTGGGGGAAGGGCCTGGTGAGAGGTGATTGAATCATGAGGGTGCACTTCCCCCTTGCTATTTTCATAATAGTACATGAGTTCTCATGAGATCTGGTTGTTTGAAAGTGTGTGGCACTCCTCCCTTCACTCTCTTTCTCTCCTGCTTCCTTGTAAGGTGTGCCTTGCTTCCCCTTCACCTTCCACCATCATTGTAAGTGTCCTGAGGCCTTCCTAGTCATGTGGAACTGAGTCAATTAAGCTGCTTTTCTTTATAAATTACCCAGTCTCAGGTAGTTCTTTATTGTAGTGTGAAAATGGACTAATACTGAAAATTGGTACCAGGAAAGTGAGGCATTACTATAAAGATACCTGTAAATGTGGAAGTGACTTTGGAACTGGGTAATGGACAGAGGTTGGAACAGTTTGGAGGGCTCAGAAGAAGACGGGAAGATGAGGAAAGTTTGGAAATTCCTAGAGACTTGTAAAATGGTTTTGACCAACATGCTGATAGTAATATGGACAATGAAGTCCAGGCTGAGGTGGTCTCAGATAGAGATGAGGAACTTATTTGGAACTGGAGCAAAGGTCACTCTTGCTATGCTTTAGCAAAGAAAACTGGTGCTATTGTAACTCTGCTCTAGGAATCTGTGGAACTTTGAACTTGAGAGAGATCATTTAGGGTATCTGGTGGAAAAAACTTCTGATTAGCAAAGCATTCAAGCAGTGGCCTGGGTGCTCCTAGCAGTGCACAGCCATACTCATTCTCAAAGAGATGGCCTGAAATTGGAATTTATGTTTAAAAAGGAAGCAGAGCATAAAAGCTTGGAAAATTTGCAGCCTGACCACATGGTAGAAGGGAAACAAACATTTTCTGGGGAGAAATTCAAGTCAGCTGTAGAAAGTTGCATAAGTAAAGGGAAGCCAAATGTTAATACACAAGCCAATGAGGAAAATGTCTCCAGGGCATGTCAGAGACTTTCGTGACATCCCCTCCCATTACAGGTCTGGAAGCCTAGGATGGAAAAATGGTTTCTTAGGCCAGGCCCAAGGCCCCACTTCTCTATGCAGCCTTGGGACATGGTGCCCTGTGTCCCAGCCACTCCAGCTCCAGCCATTGCTAAAAGGGGCCAAGGTACAGCTTGTGCCATTGCTTCAAAGGGTGCAAGCCCCAACCAAGCCTTGGCAGCTTCCATGTGGTTTTGGGCCTGTGGGTGCACAGAAGACAATAATTG
Organism: Homo sapiens; assembly: GCF_000001405.40. NCBI lineage: Eukaryota > Metazoa > Chordata > Mammalia > Primates > Hominidae > Homo > Homo sapiens. Next base: position 105,079,712 of record NC_000003.12, on the reverse strand, counting down.
AGGTTTGGGAACCTCCACCTAGATTTTAGAAGATGTGTGGAAATGCCTGAATGTCCAGGAAGAAATCTGCTGCAGGGGTGGAGCCCTCATGGAGAACCTCTACTAAGGCAGTACAGAGAAGAAATGTGGGATTGGAGCCCCCACACAGAGTCCCCACTGGAGTATTACCTAGTGGAGCTGTGAGAAGAGGGCCACCGTCCTCCAGACCCCAGAATGGTAGATCCACTGACAGCTTTCACAGTGCACCTGGAAAAGCCACAGGCATTCAACACCAGCCTGTGAAAGCAGCTGCAGGGGTCGTACCTTGCGGAGCCACAGGGGTGGAGCTGACCAAGGCCTTGGGATTCCACTTCTTGTAACAGCATGTGCTGGATATAAGACTTAGAGTCAAAGAAGATTATTTTGGAGCTTTAAGATTTAATGACTGGACTGCCCCGCTGGGTTTTGGACTTACCTGGAGGCTTGTAGCCCTTGGTTTTGGTCAATTTCTCCCTTTTGGAATGGGAGCATTTACCCAACGCCTGTACCCTTATTATATTTTAGAAGTAACTAACTTTTAAAAAATTTTACAGGATCATAGGCGGAAAGAACTTGCCTTGTCTCAGATGAGACTTGGACTTGGACTTTTGAGTTAATGCTGGAATGCATTAAGAGTTTGGGGGACTGTTGGGAAGGCATGATTGGTTTTGAAATGTGAGATGTACATGAGATTTAGGAGGGACCAGGGGTGGAATAATATGGTCTGACTCTTTGTCCCCACACAAATCTCATCTTGGATTATCATCTCCACATGTCAGGGGAGGGGCCTGAATCAGGGAGGTGATCGAATCATGGGGGGTGGTTCCCTCATGCTGTTCTCGTGATAGTAAGTTAGGTCTCATGAAATCTGGTTGTTTTAAAGTGTGTGGCACTTCCCGCTTAGCTCTCTCTCTCTCCTGTCACCATGTAAGTTGTGCCTTGCTTCCCCCTCACCTGCAATTGTAAGTTTCCTGAGGCTTCCACAGCCATGCAGAACTGTGAGTAAATTGAACCTCTTTTCTTTATAAATTACTCACTCATAGATAGTTCTTTTAGCAATGTGAAAATGAACTAATACAGAGTTGCATGCTAGAAAAGGCTAGATTGGCTTAAAGGGACTTTCAGTAAAAGCATGTATGTTAAAGATGATTCTGGTGAGGGCTCAGAAAGAAAACAGGAAAGGTATAGTGAAAACCTCTATTGTCTTAGAAAATATGTAGATTAGCATAAACAAAATATTGACAAAAATATGGACATCAAAGGCCATTTTGGCAAGGTCTTAGAGGGAAATGAGAAACATATTATTTGCAACTGGAGGAAAAGCAATCCTTGTTAAAAGGGGTCAAAGAACTTGACTGAATTGTGTTCTAGTGTGTTTTGGAAGGTAGAAGTTGGGAGCATTGAAATTGAATATTTAACTGAGGAGCTTTCAAATCAAAGTGTTGAAGGAGCAGCATGGTTTGTTCTTACTACTGATAGTAAAATGTAAGAGGAGCAGAATAAATTGAAAGAGAAAAGATAAATCATTAAGCAAAATGGAAACAGAATTAGAAGATTTGGAAAAATTCTCAGCCTATTTGTATTCCAAAAAATGAGGAAGCATATTCCAATAAGAATGCTAAAAGTGTGACTGAGCAATAATTCTATACTCAGATCATGAGAGTGACTTATTAGTTTAACCATCCATCTCAGGAAAAGCCAGGAATAGAGATGGGATTACATAATCAGAAACACTACCAGTTTGAACTAAAGGGCACAGAGAATATGAGATCAAATACAATAAAAAAAAAGCTTATCTAACTTCTTGGATTCTACAGGAGGAGAAAATAGAGCTAATGGGCTGCACACATGCTTTATCTTTCAAAAATAATGGATGAATAATCCTGAAAGTAATACAGAGATCATCAGGGCTACCACTCTCGCTATAGACCCTGGATATAAGCCTGCTTTCTTCTCAGTTTCACTGGGTCATCCCCCTCATTTTCAGCAGGCTAGGCAACCACTAAAGAGAGCCATGTGGATGGGGCTGTCATAGGGAAACATTGGGCCTGAGCTACCTCTCTGAGCTGAAGGGGTGGGGCCACCATGCAGATTTATGGATATGATACTACTACCAAAAGGGCCTAAATGACATTTTGGAAGCACATACTTGTCTGTTTTCAAAGGTTTATGGCTGGGGAGAAGAAATTCTATCTCTGGATGAGTTATGCCTTCAGTCTCACCTGTATCTGATTTAAATGATGTCTAGATAAGATCGGACATGCGACTTTAGAGTTGATGCTGGAATGAGTTAAGACTCTTGTGGCTGTTAGAATGGAATAAATGTAGTTTGCATTTGACAAGGATATACATTTTGGGGCAAGCAGATGTGGAATATTATGCACTGAATGTTTATGTCATCCCAAAACATGTTGAAGGCCTAACTCTCAGTGTGGCTGTATTTGCAGATGAGTCATATGAGGTAGTAATTAAGATTCAATAAGTTCATAAAAGGATCCCTGATGCAATAGAATTTGTTTCCTTAGGAGAAGAGACATCGGATAACTTCCCCCACCTCCATGTGCATACACCAAAACAAAGGCCATGTCAGGACACAGACAGTGGCTCTCTGCAAGCCAGGAAAAGAGCCCTTACCAGAAACTGACTCTGCCAGAAGATTGACATTAAATTTCTAACCTCCAAAACTGTGAGAAAATATATTTCCATAGTTTAATCTACATTGTTTATGATATTTTCTAGGGCAGGCTTTGCTGCCTAATACAATTGCTATAAATTTTTATGTACAGGTTTTCGTGTACATATACATCTTCATTTTCTTTTGGATAAACATCTGGTAGTGAGTTGCTGGGTTGCCTGGCAAATATATGTTTAACTTTATAAGAAATTGCCAAATCATTTTCCAAAGTGATTATACAATTTTTCATTCCAGCAATGTATGAGAGTTCAAGTTACTGCAATATTTTCATCAGTACTTTGTATTCTCAGGTTTAGGTTTTATCCATTTGTGACATCTTATAGTGGTTACAATTTATTTGAATTTCCCTGATAACTAGTTATGTTGAAAATCTTTTGGTGATAATTTGTGTATTTGCTTTGGTCAAGTGTGTAAATTTTTTGTCCATTTTTTGGATTTAGGGGGTATTTGTTATTAAGTTTTGAGCATTCTTTTTATATCCTAAACACCAGTACTTTATCAAATATACAATTAGCAAATATCTTCTCACAATCTGTGGCTTCAGTTTTTATATGCGTAATAGTGTCTTTTAAGAAACAACTGTTTTTTTGGCTGGGCTCTGTGGCTCATGCCTGTAATACCAGCACTTTGAGGGGTCTAGGTGGAAAGATCGCTTGAGTCCAAAAGTGTGAGATAAGCCTGGGCAACATAGTGGGGCCCCATCTCTACAAAAAAAAAGAAATAAAAATTAGCTGGGCATGGCTGAGATAGGAGGATCCCTTAATTCTTGGAGATTGAGGCTGCACTCCAGTCTGAGTGACAGAGTGAGACCCAACCTAAATAAATAAATAAATAATAAATGTAAAAATTTAAAAATCAATGGTTTTAATTTTGATGAAGTTCAGTGTTTCAAATCTTTCTTACGTTGGTTTTGTTTTAGTGTGATATCTAAAAGTCTTTTCCTAATCTGTGGTCACAAATATTTTCTCTTATGCTTTTGGAGACATTAATTTTGAATTTTACATTTAGATCAATGATCTACTTGTGTATTTTGTATATGTTGCAGGATATAAAATAGAGGTTAACTTATTTGCTTGTGGAGGTCCATAATTTCTTGCTGTATTGCTCAAATTATCTTATTTTTTATTGAACTACCTTTACACCTTTATTAAAATAAATTGTCCCACACGTGTGACTTTATTTCCTGAATCTCTATTTTGTTTCATTGACCTTTGTATTTATCTATCTGTCAATACTACACTTACTGGTTACTTTACTTTCCTTTTTTTTTTTTTTTTTTTAGGAGACAGGGTTTCACTTTTTTTTCCAGACTGGAGTGCAGTGGCATGATTATAGTCACCAGAGTCTCAAGCTCTTGGGCTCAAGCAATTCTCCACCCTCAACCTCCTGTGTAGCTATGACTACAGGAATGTAATTTAAATTAATTTTTAAATTTTGTTTAAAGACGAAGTCTTGCTATATTGTCTAGGTTGATCTCAAACTCCTGGCCTCAAGTGGTCTTCTGCATCAGCCTCTGGCCTTGATTACTTTAGCTTCACAATGTGTTTTGAGTCAGAAAGTATAGACCTTCAAGTTGTTTTAAGTTTTCAGAATTGTTTTGTTTATGCTACACTCTTTGCTTTTCTATATAAATTTTAGAATCTGCTTGTTAATTAAATGAAAGAAAATAAAATAAGCCTGCTTTGGTTTCTACTGGAATTATATTGACTCTAAATCCATTTGGGGAAAAATGGCATCTTAACAATATAGAGTTATCTATGAACATGGTATATCTCTTCATTTATATAAATTTTTTGCTTGATCTCATCAACTTTTTTTATATTTCAACATACAAATCTTGCAAATAATTGGGTAGATCTATTTCTAAACATTTCATGGATTTGTGTTATTTTAAATGGTACTTCATACAATTATTTTCATTTTGTTCATTGCTAGTTTAAAAATACAATTGACTTTCATGGAGAAATTTTCTATCTTATAACTTTGCTACATTCATTTATTAGTTCTAATAATATTTTTCATAGAATCTTTGGAATATTCTTTGTAGACACTCATATTTTCCAATGGAGGCAAGTTTATTTTTATTTTTTTGCAATCTCTGTGAATTTTATTTAATTTTCTTACCTTGTTGTCCTGGCTAGAATTTTCAGTGAGATAGTGAGTGTTCCCAGTCTTATGGGAAACATGGTAGTATTTCTAGTTTAAGTGTTTAGGCCTGGAGTTTTAATCCTGGGATTGTTTTTGAATACAAATTTAATTACCTTAATTGGTGTAAGATTATTCACAATTCCTATTACATCTAGATGGAGCTTGGCATAATATTTTGTCTTTAAAGGGGTTATTTTCATTTCATCTGCATTCTTAATTTTTAATATAAAAATTGGTTATTATACTTAGGCAATCTTTAAAATCTACAGTTACGCTCCTCTTTCATTCCCAATGTTGATAATTTATGTCTGTATACTCTCTGTTTGGTTGCTGTTAGATGGTCTTTTCAATAGTTTACCAATTTTAGTGAGCTTTACAAAGATCCATGTTTTATACGAATTGGTTTTCTCTATTAGTCATTTTGAATTTATTGATTTATGTTATTTTTGTTATTCCCTTATAAATACTTGCTTTGTGTTTAATTTTTTCCTCACTCAAATTTTCATGTGAAAAATTCTTAGATCATTACTTTGATAAGTTTTTCTTTCCTAATGTAAGCATTTAATGTTATAAAGTTTCCTCTAAGCTCTACTTTTGTTGCTTCACACAAATGTTGTTACCTTTCTTTCATTCAGTTCACTTATTTTAATATTAATATTTTCTTGCGACTTTCCTTTTCACTCATTAGCACATTAGAATTTTTTAAATTTTTAAATATTTGAAGATTTTCTAGATATCTGTTATTGACTCCAAGCTTAATTATGATATGCTTAAAGAACATACTTTGTATTATTTCAAGTATTTTTTTTACATTGGTGGAGGATTTATATTTATGACCCTGAAGATATTCTATCTTGGTAAAGGTTCATTTGCACTTGTACATGTGTTTTTTTCTGTTGTTTGATGGGCATGTTACACAAATATCATTAGATTAGGTTGGGTGGTAGTATAGTTAAATCTGTCATGTTTTAATAAGATTTTTTTGTCTTTCTGTTGTAACAAATACTGAGATAAAAGTGTTAATATATAATTCTGCATTTGTCTATACACTTTTCTAGTTCTATACATTTTTGCTTTATGCATTTAGATGCATGAATGGTAAGGACTGTTACATTTTCTTAATGAACTGACCCCCTACAGAAATCATTATGTAGTTTGATTATCATTCTGATAATACTGTTTGTTCTAAAATTTATTTTCTTATTAATATAGCAACTCTTGCTGTCAAAGCTTTTGCTTGGTTATCTTTTCTTATCCTTTTAATTTTAGTCTATCTATGTCATTATATTTAAAGTTGAGTTTTATGTAGACAGCAAACAGAAGGGCTGGCTTTGAAAAAACCTAATCTGATAAACTGCCTTTTGTTTTAAGTTTTTATACAAATTGGTAATATTAGTAATATAGCTGTATTTTAAAATACCATCTGGTTATTCATTTTGTATTTGTCTTATCTCTGTTCTTTTTATTTTTACTTCATTTCTTCTGAGTATTTTTTATTACTCGATTTTATCTCTACTATTGGTTTATTTAGTGTCATTCTCTTGTAAATTTTTTTGACAAATCAGTTATAGTGTTACTTAGATCTTTTACATACTTACTGATTTTCTGTTTATTTGTTCTATCAACTAGTGGAAGAGAACTATTAGTGTCTTTAGTTGTGTATTTCTCTATTCTCTCAATTCTATTTGTCTTACTTTATGCATTTTTAAGATCTTTTTTGACTCATTCATTCATTCATGTATAGAATTTTTATGTCTTCTTCATGAATTGGTCCCTTTATCATTAAGCAACATTCCTCCTTATCTTTCTTCTCAAACAAGTTACTTATCCTTGTTCTTTTACAAGTTTAATTAACTTGTTTTGGACATTGATGTATTCATTTCCCTTTTTAAAATAGATTGCATGGCGTAGTTTTTCAATATTTTATTTTAGAAATCACCTTACTTTTAACTTATGTATGTTTTTATACTTACAGTGGATTTCTCATAGGCAGGATTTAGTTGGTTTTGTTTTTAATGCAATTTGACAATCTCTAACTTTTATTTGGGTTTATTACATTCAATGTAACAATACACACATTTGAATTAAAATCTACCATTTCCTATTTACTTTCTGTTTCTCTTACTTTTTTTTGTCCAATTTTCTACTTTTTCTTCCTGCTTTCAAACTAACTGTGAATTTTTTACGATTACTTTTCTCAATGGTATATCTTTTTATAAATGTTTGCAATTTTCCTAGGACTAGCAATATAGGTCTTTTGTAAATCAAAACAAACTTTCCAATAATCTGATTCTACTTCAAATATATATAGTAAAATTTACAAAATTTTCAGTTCCTTCCTTACAATCTTTGTATTGTTATACATTTTATTTATGAATGTAATAAGCCCTATATTTGTATTAATTATCCCTTTGACTATAAAGTATCTCAATGTCATTAAAAATAAAGATAAAAAGTATTTTTAAAAACTGATTTTTATTTTTTTATTATGTCTGGAGCATAAACTAATTTCTGCTTGGTATCACTTTTCTTCTGTGTGAAGAACTTCCTTTAACATTGCCCACATCATAAGTCTCCTGGCAAGGAACTTCCAGCTTTTGTTGGTCTATAAAAGTCTTTACTTGGCTGGGCGTGGTGGCTCAGGCCTGTAATCCCAGCACTTTGGGAAGCCAAGGCGGGTGGATTGCCTGAGGTCAGAAGTTCGAGACCAGCCTGGCCAACATGGTGAAATCCCATCTCTACTAAAAATACAAAAATTAGTCGGGTGTCGTGGCACATGCCCGTAAGCCCAGCTACTCGGGAGGCTGAGGCAGGAGAATTGCTTCAGCCCGAGAGACAGAGGTTGCAGTGAGTCGAGATCATGCCACTGCACTCCAGCCTGGCTGACAGAGCAAGACTCTGTCCCCCTCCACCAAAAAAAAAAAACAACTTTCATTTTTGAAACAGATTTTTATTGGGTGTAAGGTTCTGAAATGACAGGCTTTTACTTTTACCACATTGGAGGTATTTTCTAGCTTGCCATAATTCCTGGCAAAATGTCTGCTGTAATTCAGATATTTGGTCTTTTATACATAATGTACATCCTCTCTATCTCCACCCACTACTGTTTGCTATTCAGATTTTGCATAAAGTGTGTGTGTGTGTGTGTGTGTGTGTGTGTGTGTGTGAGAGAGAGAGAGAGAGAGAGAGAGAGTTTATCCTGATTGGGATTGTTAAATATGTTATTTAAGTCTTTCATTATTTTTTGAAAGTTCTCTACCATAAATTACTTCAAATATATACTCTGCTATGTTCTCTTCCTGCTTTTTCTAGAACTCAAATAAATACTTTCTAGACCACTTAAAATTTTGCACAGCTTCTGGATAATCTCTTTGCCCTTTTCCCTATCTTTTCTCCCTTTGTATTTCAGTTTAGATAATTTCTATTAACCTATCTTTAAGTTTACTACTTATGTAATTATTTAATCTTTTCGCTACTTTCCCTATCTTTTCTCTCTTTGTGTTTCAGTTCAGCTAATTCTATTGAACTATCTTTAAGTTTACTACTTATTTAATTAACTATTTTGAATCTACTTATGAGCCTACCAAGTGAATTTTTCTCCTGTGTGTCTTCACAAAATTTTTTCCCTATATTTGTATAATACTTGACCCTTTCATGTAGTTTTCACCTCTGTTGGAGCTATCTGTTTATTTATGTTGTCTTTTTTGTTTTCCCCACTACACTGAAAGACAAATATTTTAATCATAATTATTTTAAAGTTTTCATTGGATGGTTAATGACATAGGGCCATCTCTTATTCTGGTGCAGCTTATTTTATGTATATATATGTTTATATATACATACATATATTAAAAATAATATTTTATGTATATATAATATAAAATACACATATATTTGAGGTTTTCTGTCCCTTTGTTTTTCCTTGTTTATATTTTAATATCTTGAAATCTATGACTGAAAGTCAGACATTATTCATTAAAATAATTTTTAGTTTCTGTAGCTACATAGTAGGTGTGTATATTTTTGGGTACATGAAATATTTTGCTATATGTATGCAATACGTAATAATCACGTGTTAGAAAATTGGGTATCTATTTTCTCAAGCATGCATCCTTTGTATTACGTACAATCCAATTATATTCTCTTAGTTATATTTAAACATACAATTATTATTGGCTTAAGTCCCCCACCTGCATTGTCAAATACTATTCATTTTTTCTTACAATTTTTTTGTACTCATTAAACATCCCCACTTCCCTCTGTCCCTCCATTACCCTTCCCACCCTTTAGTAACCATCCTTCTATTATCTATCTCCATGAGTTCAATTGTTTTGTTTTTTAGATCCTACAAATAAATGAGAACCTGTGATGTCTGCCTTTCTGTGCTTCACCTATTTCACTTAACATAATGACCTCCAGTTCCTTCCATGTGGTTGCAAATGTCAGAACCTCATTATTTTTTATGGCTGAATAGTACTCCACCATGTATACATGCCACATTTTCTTTATCTATTCATCTGTTGATGGAAATTTAGGTTGATTTCAAGTCTTTGTGATTGCGAATAGTGCTGCAACAAACATGAGAGCACAGATATCTCTTTGATATGCTGATTTACTTTATTTTAGTATATACCCAGCAGTGGCATTGCTGGATCACATGGTAGCTCAATTTTTCATTATTTGAGAAACCTCCAAAATGTTCACCATACTGTTTGTACTAACTTACATTCTCACCAACGGCATATGAGGGTTCTCTTTTCTCCACATTCTCAGCAGCAGTTGTTATAGCTTGTCTTTTGGATATAAGCTATTTCAACTGGGATGAGATAACGTGATTGTAGTTTTGATTTGCATTTGTGTAATGATCAATAATGTTGATCACATTTTCATATGTCTGTTTGCCAGTTATATGTCTTCTTTCGGGAAATGTCTATTCTAGTATTTTACCCATTTTTAAATTGGATTATTAATTTTTTTTCCTATAGAGTTGTTTGAGCTCCACATATATTCTGGTTATTAATCCCTTGTCAGATGGGTAGACTGCAAATATTTTCTCCCATTCTTTGGGTTGGTTCTTTACTTTGTTGATTGTTTCCTTTGCTGTGCAGAAGTTTCAAATTTGATGTAATTCCATCTGTCCATTTTTGATTTGGTTGCCTGTGCTGGTGAGTATGACTCAAAAAGTCTTTGCCGAATCTAATGCCCTGAAGAGTTTCCCAAATGCTTTCCTGCAGTAGTTTCATAGATTAAGGTCTTATATTTAAGTCTTTAATACATATTGTTTTCATTTTTGTATATGGTAAGAGACTGGGACCTATTTTCATTCTTCTGCATATTAATATCCAGTTTTCCCAGCACCATTTATTGAAGAGATATTCCCCAGTGTATGTTCTCCACACCTTCGTCAAAAATGAGTTCACTGTAGGTGTGTGGATTTGTTCCGTGTTTTTTATTCTGTTTCATTGGTCTATGTGTCTGTTTCTACTCAAGTATTATGCTGTTTTGGTTATTATAGCTCTGTAGAATAATTTGAAGACAGATAATGCAATTCCTCCAGTTTTGTTCCTTTTCCTCATGACAGGCTTGGCAAATCTGGGTCTTTTGTGATCCCACAAAAATTTTAGGATTGTATTTTCCATTTCTGTGAAGGATGTCATTGATACTTTAATAGGAATTGTATTGAATCTGTAGATTGCTTTTTGTGGTATGAACATTTTAACAGTATTGATTCTTCCAGTTCATTAACATGGAATACCTTTTTATTTTGTGTGTTTTCTTCAATTTCTCTCATTATTGTTTTATAGTTTTCATTATAAACAGATATTTAACTTATTGTTTATAGAAATATTTCACTTCTTTGTTTAAGTTAATTCCTAGGTATTTTATTTGTGTGTGTGTGGCTTTTGTAAATGGGATTACTTTTTAAATTTCTCATTCAGATTGTTTACTTTTCCCATATAGAAATGCTACTGATTTTCGTATGTTGATTTTGTATCCTGTGACTTTAATGAATTTATCAGTTCTAATAGTGTTTTGATGGACTCTTGGTAGGTTCTTCAAATTTAAGATTATATCATCTGCAAACAAGAATAACTTGACTTCCTCCTTTCCAAGCTGGATGCCCTTTATTTATTTCTCCTATCTTCTTGCTCTAGCTAATATTTCCATTACCATGTTGAGTAACAGTAGTGAAAGTGGGTATCCTTGTTTCATTGAAGATCTAAAAGGAAAGACTTTTAATTTTCTCTCATTCAGTATGATACTAGCTGTGGGTCTATTATATATGGCTTTTATTATGTTGAGGTATGTTCCTTCTATACCCAGTTTTTTCAAGATTTTTATTATGAAGGGATGTTGAACTTTATTAAGTACTTTTTCAGCATCAATTAAAATGATCATATGGTTTTCGTCCTTCATTCTGTTGATATGATGGGTCACACGGATTGATTTGCATATGTTGAACCATCCTTGCATCCTTGGGAGAAATCCCACTTGGTCATGATTAATGATTTTCTTTAATGTATTGTCGAATTTGGTTTGCTAGTATTTTGTTGAGGATTTTTGCATCAACGTTGATCAGATATATTGGTCTGTAGTTTTCTTTTTTGTTGTGTCTTTGTCTAGTTTAGGTATGAGGGTAATACTGGCTTCATTGAATGAGTTTGCAAATATTCACTCTCTCTCTACTTTTCAGAAGAGTTTGAGTAGGATTGGTATTAATTCTTCTTTAAGTGTTTCACAGAATTCAGCAGTGAAGCTGTCAGGTCTCAAGTGTTTCTTTACTGGGAGACTTTATTGTGAATTTGATCTTGTTACTTGTTATTGTTCTGTTCAGGTTTTGGAGATCTTCGTGATTCAATCTTGGTAGATTGTATTTGTTTAGAAATGTATCCATTTCTTCTGGATTTTCCAATTAATTGACATGTAGTTTTTCATAGTAGCCACTAATGATTCTTTGAATTTCTGCAGTAACAGTTATAACGTCTCTTTTTATCTCTATAATGTTTGCTTGATTCTTCTAAATTATTTCAATTTTTTGTTAAATATGTCTGACATAATTCTGAATTCCTTCTCTGTGTTATGTTGAATTTCTCTGAGTTTTCCCAAACCAGCTATTTTGAATTTGGTGTCTGAAAGGTTATATATCCTACCCTTGTTTCTCCAGGATTGATCCCTAGTGCCGTACTTAGTTTGTTTGGTGAGGACATGTTTTTTTGGATGGTGTTCATGCTTGTAGGTGTTCTTCAGCGTCGGGGCTTTGAAGAATTAGGTAATTATTGCAGTTTTCACTGCTTGGGCTTGTTTGTGCTTGTCTTTCTTGGGAAAGCTTTTCAGGTATTTGAACAGACTTGGATTCCAAGTCTGAACTGCTGTGGTTTTGCAACTTGAAGAGGTACCACCTTGGTAGTCTTGGATAAGATCTTGAAGAATTGCAGAGACTCTTGTTCTTTTCCCTGACTTTCTCCCAATCATACAGAGTCTCTTTGTGCTGAGCCACTTGGAACTGGGAGTGTGGTAACGCAAGCACCCCTATGGCCACCACCACTAGCATTGTGCTGGGAAAAATCTGAAGTCAGCACATCACTGGTCCCTGCCCAAGGCCCTTCGCTTCAGGGTAATGAGTTCCCCCAGGCCCTGTACATATACAGAGATGCTGTCTAGGAGATAGGAACTGGAGTAAAAAAATCTTAGCTTTTACTTGGTGTTCTATTTTACCATGGCTAAGAGCTGGCATTCAAACAAAATACTAAGTCCTTTTCGCTCTTCCTTCCTCTTTCCACAGGCAGAGGAGCTCTGCCCTGTGACTATCTCCTCCACCAGTCCACAGGATTTCTGACAGGTGACTGCCAATGATCACTTAAAGTGCAAGGGCTCTTCTGTCAGCTTATGGCGAATGTTACTAGGCCTGGGACTCACCCTTCAGGGCTGCGGCCTTCCCTCTAGCTCAGGCCAGGTCCTGAAATGCTGTCCAAGAGCCTAGATCTGGACATAGGGACCCCAAGAGCTTGCTTGTTGCTTTACCCACCTGTGGCCAATCTGGTACATAGGGTGCAAGACAAATTCCCCTTCTCTTTTACTTGTGGTTTTCTCAAACAAGAGGAGTCTTTCACCATAGGCAGCACAGCTGAGAATGTGCTGGGTCTGCCCTGAAGCTAGCACATCTCAGAACCCAAGGCCCACAGAGTACTCCCTGGGTATCACTGGGGGTTATTTAGGGCTCAAGGGCTCTTTAGTCAGCAGGTGATTAATCCTGTCAGGACTGAGGTTTTCTCCTTAAGGCAGCAGCTTCCTTTTCTGCCCGTGGTGTGTCTAGAAATATTGCCTAGGAGCCAGGGCCTGGAGTGGGAGCCTTGTAACTCTGCCCAGTGCCTTATCTTACTGTGGCTGAGCTGTACCCACGATGCAAGACAAAATCTTCTTTACTCTTTGTTCTCCTCTCTTTGAGCAGAAGGAAGGAGTCACTTTTGTAGCCAAGAGCGGCACTGCCTGAAGTTGGGGTAGGGATCTCATAAGACCTCCCTTAGCCATAACAGTTGGTATCTCCCTAGGTCACGTGCCGTCCTAGTTCACTGGCTGTAAGCCCAGCCTAACACTAGTAGTTGCTTAGGAATTGCAGTCCTTTGTCCTAGATTGCCTTCAATTTTACCTAGGACCCCAGAGCACTTCAGCCTGAGGCCTGCCAAGAAACTCAAATTCCGACTGCTGGGAGGGGCAATTTCCCCCTGGCTAGGGCGGTTCAAAATACTCTCTCAGTTCATGCGCATTGGCTGATTCCAGCACAGCTTTATTCTCTGCTGTGACAGGGCAGCACTGAGTTCAATGTAAAGTCCTCCAGTTCCTGCACCCTCCCCCTCTGCAAAGTGCACAGATTCTCTCTCTGTACCCTGCACAGATGCTGTTGGGGGATGGGGAAGGGATGACTTCTGCAATTCAAGATTCTCTCTTGCCATCCCCAATGCCTCTTTCCATCATATGATGTTAAAACCAGGTACTGCGATTGCTCGTCTGATTTTTGGTTCTTGTGACGGTGCCTTTCCGTGTGCAGATAATTGTTAAAATTTGCTTTTCCATTTGGGGAGACCAACGGTGTAGGCTTCTACTCTGCCATCTTGCTCCACCCTACCAAGACATTATTTTAGAAGAGTAAAAGAGTAAAAGGCTGTCAATGCTTTTTATGCCTTGAAAAATTGTGCCTCTTCTTCAAGTTGTTAGTGAAGCATAGGTTTGAGTTCACCTGTTTGGGAGTTGAGCTGAATGTGGGTTTTATTATTACTATTACTATTTTCGCTTGCTTCAAATTTCTTTACTTTGCGTTGCTTTTGAGTTGTTTGTAGAGTTTGGGTTGAATTTCTGGATTTGTCAGCGTTCTAGCTCCTCTTCTCTTGATTGTCTGTTTTATCAGAAGTTTCCTTTCCCTCAGCTAGCAATGAGAGACTACTCTTTGAGGTCAATATGGGATCTTAGGTCCAAGGTTGTTCCCTGTTCTTTGCTGAAGTAGAGTTTGTTCTTCTATTACTTCCCTAGCCATAGGATCTTTGCACCTGTGTACTGGGTATGACAGACTTTTCTGCCTTTATATTAGCAGACTTAGGCTTTCATTTCATAGCAGGTAAAGGTCCAGAGACGTGTGCAGTACTTAATTACTGTTTCTTCCCAGATCCCAAATATCAGCTCTCAAATGCATGACTCTACACTCACGTCCTGCTTCCAATCTTTCTTGTTTCAACTGGCAGACAGCTATGAGAAAGATTTTGCAAATGTGTGGAGACTCCCTTTATAGCTAGGAATCAACTAATTCAAACAAACTTGCCTACACTTGGATTTTGGCAGTTTAATAAGATTTTAGCTATTTTTTCTTATCTGCAAGGTGTTTTTTTACACCTTGTTTCTCCGTGGTGAAGTTTGTCTTTCTTTGGAATTTGCTTAGTTACTTGGGTGCCATTTTTACTCCTATCTGCTCTCTGATAGGTGTAAAAAAATTGTGATTGTATGTTTTTCCTACTCCTTTTTTATAGTTGGGATGGGACCAATACTCTTTACAGCTTTTTACGTCTAAGCAGAACTAGTTTTATATTTCTTTTTCTTAACTTGTTGTTAGTGGATGCAGGCTCATTGGCCAAAAGCTAAATCACATAGACAATTTATGAAAATACTAAAGTAAAGGAATTCATTTACTCAACTATTTTCTAATATGATATAATAAAATTTTTCATTTAAAGAGAGCCTTCCATATACAGATATGAAATCCATTGATAATTATGACCACTCAATTAGATAAATCTTATAAGCCCTGTATTATGATTGCACTGGAGGAGAGGTGGAATGATTTTCCTACAGCTGATCAATGTTGAGTTTCAGATTGAATCCAATGAATGACACATTTAGAATTTTAACTTATATCTTTATAACTTGTAAGTTTGTGCATTTTTTCTGCCATGCTATATTTGGGGTATAAATAAGTCGTTATTTCCATAGAAGAACAAGGAAAAACAGCCATACATAAAAGCAAATCACAAACAACAAACACTAAAAATATCATGACAGATATAAACAAAGTGCTGTAAAAATACAAATTAGAGAGCTGTTAATAATTTTACCTTGAAGGGATGTGAACAGATTTGTAGTAGAGGTAATATTTGGCTTGTGTTTTGAAGGACAAATGTGCTTTGCAAATAGAATGTGCTGACATGCTTTTGTTTATGTCAAAATATATACATGTACATGGTAAGTGGTATATCCAAGGTGAAGCAAAAATTTCAGTATGGCAGGATGTAGCATGTATAATATAATTTGGTCAGTATGAGACTGAAGAGGAAAAATGAAATCAGATGAAAAGATCTTTGATAATAAGCTAAGATTATAATAGGAAAATATTGGAATATTTTAATCAAGAGTGTGACAAAATCAATGTTTTGTGCAGCAATATGTTTATGGGGATAGTAGAAACACTGGGGTGAGTAGTCATGTTCATTGGATATAGGATGGGAAATTATTAGTCAGTCCTTAGAATGTTCCAGGTGAGTCCTAAGCTAAAGTAGACACAGGAATTGGAGAAAGAGGTATAGTTTCCCAGATTTTGCTCAGGTAAAGTTTTAGACAAACTATTGAATAATTAACCTAGCAAGAATGAAAAGGGAATTATTAAAATTTGCGTCATTTCTAATTTAGGAGGTAGGATGAGAGTATTGCCTGAGCCAGCATATTTAACCTTCAGTGGTACCAAAATAATGTTAATTTATAGATAGTATGATGGGTTAATAAAAGACAATAGAGACCACATTATTCTGAACATGTTCATAGAATAGGCTTAACATATATTTAATGGTTACCTATTGGGTACAGAGAAACAGTGAAAACAAATTTGAGAAACAAATCTGCCTCTCCTCTCCACAATTGTACCCTCCAAGCATAAAATTGAGGTGGAAAGATAAGACAAAAATGTGCTATTAAAAGCAATACTGAAAAAAAAAATAGAAAAGATTTTCCAAAGCAGTGCATGATTAATTGCTTAATGATTTACAAGATTTAAGAAGAAGAAGGTTAATTAGAGGTGGCCAGGAAGAAAAGTAATAGAAGTTAGAGGAAGTTTATAGTATGTCAGCGTTCCTCAAGGAATGAACAAAGAGAGTCACTGACTATTGGGTTTTTGGAAGTGTGTGGTGTGAGGGGTGTGTGTGTGTGTGTTTGGCGTGTGTGTGTGTAATGAAGATTTAGTTTTTAAATGCAAAAACCTGAAAACTGCTATTTTGGGGTTTGCTTGGAGTACTTGTGATTAGGGGTAGAAATTGGACTTTGTGTTTGTTTACATTGGCTGGGAAGCTGACTGCTGATTTGCACTTTCTCTCACGCATGTATAAAGCAAATATCTACCCTCTCTTTATAGAGTAACCCTGAAAAAGAGAGGTAATTAAAATGCAGCTGCTTCCAAGCAAGATGTCTTCTGTTTAATGATAGAAGTTAGGTTTATCTTATGCAAATGTGCATTCCTACTGAGGGAGAGAAACTAATTTTTTCTTGAATTTGGGTTTATGTTATCCCATGACTGAAAACTATTATTTGTTCTTGGGAGATATTGTTCTTTACATTTATACATTTACTTATATTTGTTGGAAGGACAGATCACCTCAAGAAGAGTAAAAGAGTAAAAGAGTGATAGTGACCTCACCCTATTTTAGAAGAATGCTTGCCAGCCTGGATTGAGGCCATCCTGAGTCAATGGGTGCTGCTCTATTGGTGTGCGATGTGCAATGCTCTTTGATGTTTTAAAAGTCAAGTACAGAAAATATTGTCAAGTAGTATGGTTGTCTTGATTCCCAGATACTCTTTTTTAGGTGAAGATGGAAATTTTTCCAGAAAACGTGTAAAAAGTGTCTCACCTGAGAAGGATTAAATTCTGGAATAAGAAATGGTGAAGTCTTGGGTTGGAGCAGAGAGAATTTCTTTTTTTCCCTCTAAGATGGAACTAGAGTTGTGCTGTGACACTGAAGTGGAGAGATAACTTTGGTGGAAGCTGAGATGACTTTCCTCCTTTTAGTGCACTGACAGCTAGGCAAGGACATCAGCTATCCTCTCTGCTACGTTTTTCTTGTCCCTTCAGTAAAAATAGTCCAAAAATATAATGGCTTATTGTAAGACGGGCTTTGAGGAATGAAAAAGGGACACGTTATTAATACTTATATTGTGTGAGTAAAAGGAACTTCCAGAAGCCAGTTACTAGTGGCAAGAGGTAACCTGGAGGTTTAGGGACCAAAAGAGACCAAGTCGTAAAAGTGACAAGCATGAGAGATTTGAGACCATAGATACATGGTTTCAAAGTTCTTAGAAATTACATGGCATGGAGAAATTTGTAGAAGACTATACCTTCTGGAGACTATCCAATATACCCTCTACGATTGTTGGAGCATTAGAGGAAAATTGAAAGTAAACAATATCTAGGATATTGTAATAGAAAAATATAAAACTTTTTAATAATTCTATCTAAAAGTTCAGCAGACTATTTTTTCACCAAAGGGGCATTCATACATAAAACCACATTTTAACTCAGTTTTTCCTAATCAGAAGCATCTCTTAAAATGGAGTGTGCTTTATAAACCATGTGAGAATTTTGTAATTATTAAGGCTCATGCAACCAAGCAATTAATTTCAACTCACTCCCATTTTTTAAAATGAAAAAGCAGTGCACAAAAACAGATTATGGAAATGAAACAAAATACTTGAATAAATTGAAATGTTGGAACCAAATATTTTTCAAAACCTAAAGTATGTGTTTTTCAGATACTCAGGGGATTTTGTAGATGAACCTAATATTAATATCAGTCTTGATGAGAGTACTTCAAGTGTTTGCTTTTGCACTTGATGAGACTATATCTCTATATAACTGATTTAATTAATATTCTTCTCAGAGTAAATAGCATTTGAAATGAAAGATTAGTGGTGGGTGTGGTGAATCATTGAATTGCTCTAGCCTTCTAAATGGCACAAGCATATGATAGAATTACTAATGGTGCCTGAAAAATGTTTATCAGCCTTCCCTGCTTAGGGACACTTGAGACTACAATGCCTTGGTATGTATTATTCAAACTGTTCTTTACTTATCCTGATTCACATCTTATTATCTGCCAGAGTCTGACCTAGGAAACTTATTGGCTAAGCAACCTCTTTTAACTCAGTTTTCCTTGGTTCAAAGTAGTGTAAACACCAATTTATCCTAGTGTAAGAAATAATCAAACAGTGTGCATATAACAATGGTACATATTTATGGGGTACGGTGTAATGTTCTGATGCATGTATGCAATCTATAACGATCAAATTAAGTAATTAGCATATTCATCACCTCAAACATTTATCGTTTATTTGTGGTGAAAATATGTAAAATCCTCTCTTCTGTTTAAAAATATACCATATATTATTAACTATAGTTACCGTACTATGCAATGGAATACTAGAACTTATTCCTCCTATTTAACTGTAACTTTGTACCCATTAACGAACCTCTTCCTAATCTCCTCTCCCCACTTACTCCTCCCACCTTTTGGTAAAAACTATTCTATGAGATCAACTTTTTAGATTATACATATGACTGAACTCATATGGTGTTTGTCTTTCTGTGCCTGTCTTATTTCACTTGGCATAATGCCTCTAGGCTCATCCATGTTGGCACAAATGACAGAATTTCATTCCTTTTTATGGCCGAATAGTATTCCTTTATGTGTATATATACATCTTCTTTATCAATTCATCTGTTAATGGATATTTACATTGCTTTTATGTCTTGGCTATTGTATATAGTGCTCCAATAAACATGAGAGTGCAGATATCCCCTTGAAATACTAATTTCATTTCATCTGTATATATACCAAGTAGTGATTGAATATACATTTATTTCCCTCATATCAATTAATAAAACTATAAAAACAAAAACAAAACCAAAAGAAACTTTAGGGCTGGTGTTCTCATTATTCATTAACATTTGCAGATTCGTAGAAATATATTGCATCTAAACTAATTATTAACAACCACACGCAATATTAAATAAGTACGTATTTTTAGATCTACTATTTTCCAAGCACTGTGTTGAACCTGGAAGATATAATGGTGAACAAATGGTGATTGTTCTTACAGTTTAATGAAGACAAACATTAATCTAGAAATTACAAGTGAATGTGTTTAAAAAATTGAACTATATGTTAGTATGGAAACATAAAACAGGATAAGGTGCTTCTAGTACGAGAGTTCATTTCAGTCCTCTGGTAAAAACATACCAGTCCTCTGATAAAAACATGGCAAGATAAAAAGAATTTAGAAATGCAGAACCTTCTGGATGAGAAGGGTTTTAATATTTCTTTTATTTACTTAATGGAAAGCCATTAAAAGATTTTTAAAAGGTAACTTACATGAGTTAATATGCATTTCAAAATTATGTTTCTGAAATGTATGAAAAAGATTGGGAGAAAATAAGAGAAGAATTGTAGACTTCTTTATTAGGAGAAATGATAGTGACTTGGATTAATATGGGGGAATGGGAAAGGTGAGAAATGCAACATTTTGAGAAATAATTGTCAGGTGGAATTGGTAGGTGATTGATTAGATGGCAAGTGTGGGAAAAGGAAAGTTGTGAGATTTATTTATTTATCTGTTTATTTATTTATTTTACTTTCTGATGTAATAAATTCAATTCTAATTAAGTTGAATTTTTTTTTTTTTTTTTTTTTTTTTTTTTTTTTGAGACGGAGTCTCACTCTGTCACCTGGCTGGAGTGCAGTGGCGTGATCTTGGCTCACTGCAACCTCTGCCTCCCGGGGTCAAGCGATTCTCCTGCCTCAGCCTCCTGAGTAGCTGGGACTAGAGGTGTGCGCCACCTCGCCTGGCTAATTTTTGTATTTTTAGTAGAGATGGGGTTTCACCATGTTGGCCAGTATGGTCTCTATCTCTTGACCTTGTGACCCGCCCGCCTCAGCCTCCCAAAGTGTTGGGATTACAGGCATGAGCCACTGTGCCCAGCCATCATGTTGAATTTAATGGCATTTGAGACACGCCTGTGGAGATAATATTTTGAGTTTGTATATGTAGTTCTGGATTAGACTAGAGAATATGAGCTTCAGATACTGATTTCAGATACAGGTTATTAGCATGTTAAATGAGTTTGCTAAGGGAGAAGTTTGGAAGAATATTTAAAAAATGTCTCTGGAGTTGATTGAGGAAAGAAAATGTTTTGAGTATGTGAAGTAGTCAATATTATGGAGCACTGCCAAAATTATGCCGACATATAAACACATACATATGTAGTAAAATCACACAAGTTTGGACTAACTGTTAGATATCTAGGTTGAATGAATAGCTACTGATTCTTTCTTTTTTTTTTTTGGAACGGAGTCTCGCTGTGTTGCCAGGCTGGAGTTCAGTGGCGCAATCTTGGCTCACTGCAACCTCCACCTCCCAGGTTCAAGCAATTCTCCTGTCTCAGCCCCCTAAGTAGCTGGAATTCCAGGCACACACCACCATGCCTGGCTAATTTTTGTACTTTTAGTAGAGATGGGGTTTCACCATGTTGGTCAGGCTCGTCTCGAACTCCTGACCTCGTGATCCGCCCGCCTCAGCCTCCCAAGATTATTTCCTTTTTATATATATTAAAATTTTTAGCCTCCGTATTTTAGGACTTTGACCACCTAACATCTATTCAATTGCCATATCTATTCCTCCAAGTATCTATTTCTGACATTTCTGTTGTCACAGCTACTTCACTGTCTCCACACTAATCCAGTATCTTACTGTGATTTTCTAAGAACTTCTCACCTACTTCACTTATATCTCATCATCCCGTTTTAATGCATCCTTTGTAAAAATGGATTAGTCTTTCTAATTTATTCCTCTGATTTCACCACTATCTGAACATAAACCTTCAATGCCTTATTTTCTGCCAAACGTATGATACATTCCTGTGTGACCCATTTAAAAAGATATATTATGAAGCTTTAATTTTCCCTCTTTCACCACATTATAAAGAAAATGGGTTTGGCTTGCTGGTTATTGGCTTCATTTAATACATAGACCTGCAATAAATGTATTTATAATTTATTTGTCATAAACAAATAGAAATATAAAATAAACCATGTTATACATTAATATAAGATACTAATACTTATTAAGATTTTATGGATTCATTTTCTTTCGTAACATGTTATAGGCTACCTGTTTCAATAAACAATAAAATATACTTTACTATGTAGAAATTACACACATCTAATCAAATGTACACTGCATATTGAAAGGTTACATTGATATTCATATTGTGATATATAATATGAGATTTCTGAATCAAAGGATATATTCTTTTTTTTTTTTTTTTTTTTTTTTTGAGACGGAGTCTCACTCTGTCCCCAGGCTGGAGTGCAGTGGTGCTATCTTGGCTCACTGCAACCTCCGACTCCCTGGTTCAAGCGATTCTCCTGCCTCAGCCTCCCAAGAAGCTGGGACTACAGGCACGTGCCACCATGCCCGGCTAATTTTTGTATTTGTAGTAGAGACGGGGTTTCACCATGTTGGCCAGGATAATCTCGATGTCCTCGTGACCCACCCACCTCGGCCTCCCAAAGTGTTGGGATTACAGGCTTGAGCCACTGCGCCTGGCCCAAATAATATATTCTTTACCAGTTAAAGCTTAAACAGTGGTCAGAGATGCATCTTGTACTATTTCTCTAAGCCTTAATACCCACAGTGAAAAGGTGATAGCCAGATGTACCTGGGTGTGCCACGGGCATTACCACAGGAGAGGAACTCCACAATTAATGAGACTTAGAGCTCATATAGGTCAACTGGCATACATATCCTTCTTCTACTCTAGAGAAAATGACAGAGAAACCTGCTCCCTGGAATGTATTCAAGTTTTCTCTGGGAAATGTAGAGAAAGGTCTCTACCCTGGAATGCAATCAAATGGCTCTGGAGAGAGAAGTCTCTAAATCTCTCTGGAGCAATACACAGTCCTTAACTTCTAAGGCATGATTGACATGATTTTAACCTACGCAATGTTCTCTGAAAGCCTGAATCATGCAGAAATGTAAAAATATTCATAAAAACTTGTCCCTAAATACATATTTAGCTGTATAAAAATATATCACATTTGGATACTGAATGGCATTTAAATTGTTTATTTACCTAGATGTTTTAAATATTGTATCTGCCATTGTAGTTGCGAAGCTGTATCAATATGAAGAACAAGTTTTATTTGTGTAAAAATACTTATGTATTTTAAATTAGTATATTCTACATTTTCAGCAATTTTATTGAGCATTGGATTAGCCCATTCTCATACTGCTAAAAAGATATACCTAAGACTGGGGAATTTATAAAGCGAAAAAGTTTAATTGGCTTATGGTTCTGCCAGCTGTACAGGAAGTATGGCTGGGGAGGCCTCAGGAAACTTAGAATCTGGCGGAAGGTGAAGGGGAAGCTGGCACGTCCCACCTGGCTGATGCAGGAGGAAGCGAGCGGGGCGGAGGTGCGACACACTTTTAAACAAGCAGCAGCACTAGGGGGATGGTGTTAAACCATTAGAAACTGGCCCCATGTTGCAATCATCTCACACTAGGTCCCTCTTCCAGCACTGGGAATTACAATTTGACATGAGATTTGAATGGGGACACAGAACCAAACCATATCAAGCATTTATGTCTATCTTTTATATAATTAAATATTCAAAGATATATCTAACATGTATCTGACATTTATGTCAGTTATGACTATCATACAATCTAAAACTTAACAGATGTACATATTCAGTAGATGGTTAATTCAGAATGTTTAATAACTTGGAGAGTCCTTGCTATCAAATTTACTTTTGTCAATATGTATTTTTATGAGAAATTTGTGAATACAACTAAAAAATAAAGACATTTAAAATTATTTTATTAAAATTAAAGAAAGTTTTCTTTATATGTCTATTATATTAGATGGTCTTATTCATATATTCCAAATTATACTGTTATATGCTTACTTCTTATTGTAAACTATTTCACATTTTTAGATAAGAGAAAAATGTTGTACATTTATGCTAATTAGTCTAAAGAATCTTAACTTTGCTATAATCATTTTAGAACATTTTATAATTAGTAAATAGTATTTAATTCTCCTGGTCCTACTCTTTTTCCTCTGCAATTTAATCTCTATTTTGATTGTCATATCATAAATTGTTTTACATTTAACTATTGTGTTGATTAATATGAACAACATAGACTATTGCTTTGCGTGTTCCAAAATTATTTTGTGAGTAGAATCATTTACTATGTATGATTTTCAATCTTTTAATTTTTGTTGGTGAGGTTTATCCATATCGATACCATATTAATTAGAGTTCTCTAGAGAAAACCAATAGCATATACATATATAAAGAAAAGTAGTTTTTTTTTAATAAGAAATTGGCTCATGCAATTATGGGGCCGAGAAATTCCAAGATCTTTAATTGGTAAAATGGACCGAAGGAGAGCTAATTGTGTCATTCCAATCCAAGTCCAAATGCCTGAGAAATAAGAAAGCTGTTGGGATAAGTTCCAATATGAAAGCTGGATGAACCAAGGTTTAAGAAGAGCTGGATTCAGTTCCATTCTTAAGGTAAGAAAAGACCGATGTTACTGCTCAAGCCATCAGACAGAAAGAGTACACTCTTACTTTTGAGAGAGTCAGCGTTTTTGTTCCACTCAGGCCTTTAGCTGATTGGATGGGGCCTGCCCACATTAAGGAGAGTAATCAGCTTAACTCAGCCTACTGATTCAACAATCTTATCCAGAAACATCCTTAGGGACACACCCAGAATAATGTTTGACCAAATGTCTGAGGACCTCATTGCCCAATAAAGTTGACACATAAAATTCACCATCACAGACACTTACCCATTCCATTCAGTTGAATTGCCATGAAGTTTTTTATTGTTGGAATAACACATTTAAAAAATGTATTATTCTGTTGATGCATAACTACTGTGTTCATGATTTTTCACCTTTGTAAATGACACTTCAATGAAAACTTCTATATATGCCTTTTGTGCTAATGGGTGAAATATATCTGAGGATATATTCCTGGAAAGAGGGTTTCTAAATACTTTCAAATCTTCAGCTTTGTTAAACAGAATGAATTACTTCTCTAAAATATTTGTTTATATCAATGACACTTCCACCAGCAGTGAATTAGAGTTTCTAATCAACAGTCTCACCAAGACTTATTATCATCAGGTACTGCAGGGGGGTAGCAAAGAATAGGGATAAAAGATGCATCCTGGAGTTGGAATTGCAATCAAGTCCAGCTCTGCCACTTACTAGCTTTGTGGCCATGGCCAACAACAAATTCTCTTTACATTAGACTCTTCATCTTCAAAATGAGAATGATAATGACACCTTTCTCAAAGAGTTGTCATGAAGATTAAAAGAGTTAGTAAGAATTGAACACTTAGCATACTTTCTGGCAAATAGAAAGTTTAAATATGTAAAAACAAATTTGTTGCTGGATGTGGTGGCTCATGCCTGTAATCGCAGTGCTTTGAAAGGTCAAAGTGAAAGGATCACTTGAGGCCAGGAGTTCCAGACCAGCCTGGGAAACATAATAACACCCCACCTCTACAAAAAATAAAAATAAAAAATGCTAGCCAGGTGTGGTGGTGTGTGCCTGTAGTCCTAGCTACTCAAGAGGTGGAGGCAGGAGGATCACTTAAGCTCAGGAGTCTGAGGCTACCTTGAGCTATGATCACGCTGCTGCACTCCAGCCTGGGCAAGAGAGCAAGAACTCACCTTAAAAAAAAGAAAATAATAACATTAAAGCAAAAATAAAAACAATTTATTGTGTTGGAAATTGTCTTGTATTATCTCATTATGCTTTATTTTAATTTCCAGTTCTACAAGTACTATTGAGATTGATAATTGTTTTTGTCTTTGATGTGTATGTTAACATCTTTTCCCTTTTTAGAATAGGGTTTATGTCTTTTTATTATTTAGTGATGGGCATTTAAAATACTCTTTTTCTTGCCACATTTTTGGTGGTGTTGGGGTGTTGCAAATATAATGTTCCACTCTAAATTATTTTTTCAGTTTTTATCAGTGTATTAGTTTGTAGAAATTTTAATTTTAATGGAATGCAACTTGTCAACCTATTCTTTGTCCTAGTTGTTCTTAGCTTTTTGTTTCTAAGGAATTCTTCCCTATTATGAATTTATGAAGACAGTTTTTCATAAATGCTTTTAAAATCTTCAAAGTAATTTTTTCTCACTTTTAACTCCTTAATTTAATCAGATTTTATTTTAGGGTATTGTATGAGAAAGATAATTTTTATTGTTTTCCATGCACTAACATACACCCTAACACCATATATTGTATATTTTAACCTTTACCACCGATTTTTTATCGCTTCTCCATAATACATAAAAATTCTGTTTATGTGTGGGTTTGTTTTTAGGATCTGTGTCTTTGTTCTGTGTTCATTTGCATTGGTATATTTGTCTATTCTTGGCCTTAAATCCTTGTTAGACAAGCTGATTTTAAAAATCTTGGCCATTTAGCACTTTGTTCTTTCATACATATTTATAGTTGATTACAAACAAATATAAACAATAAATTGAAACCTTTTGGGTGATGTGAGTGTATATATTCATTAGAGGTTAATAAACGGGTATATAATATTGAAACTTTCAATTGATGCACATAATGTTTATCTTAATTTACTCGATATTTTACAATGTCTTTCAATTTTTTTTCTTTTTCTTTTTTGAGACAGGTTCTCACTTTCTCACCCAGGGTCGCAATCTTGGCTCACTGCAGACTCAGCCTTCTGAGTTCAAGCTATCCTCCTGCCTCAGTCCCCCAGGTAGCTGGTACTACAGGAGCAAGCCACCACACTTGGCTATTTTTTTTTTTTTTTTTTTTTTAGAGACAGGATTTCACTATATTGCCCAGGCAGGTCTCAAACTTCTGAGATCAAGTGATTCTCCCACCTTGGCCTATCGAAGTGCTAGGATTACAAGCATCAGCCATTGCACCTGGTAAAAATGTCTCTCAATATTATGGTAATTTTCTTCATAACTTTCTTGCACTTATACTATTTTTGATCTTAAGTAATTTGTAGATTTCTTATTTATTTATTTTGCCATTATAAGTGTGGTTGTCCTTTTTATTACATTTCTTTTACTAATCCCTGAGAACACTATTTTCAGGTTAACTTTATATACAGCAGTATTGATAAATTCTCTTGTTAGAAAGTTTGTAGTTGGGTTTTCTGTGTAGTCGTTGTGCAAATTATAAATATGTGAACTTTTTCCCCCGAAATATCATGCAACTTTGTTTCCAATCTTATTGTTTTCCCTAGTACTTTCAGTTTGACTTAAGCTTTCATCGTGGGCATTCTTGACCAATTTATTAATTTCCATTAATAGAAGGGCTTCCAAAAGTTTTGGGCAGTAACAATTGAGACTGGCACTGTTGTCTGTACTTGGGTACATTGGGAACAAAATATAGAGAGATCTCTGTCTTTCTGAAGTTTACATTACAGTGGAGAACCCAGATAATAAATGACAAATTTAATAAATAAGTACATGATGGGGTATGCTGGAAGATAATATATACATTTTTAAAAGCATAAACTATTATAAAAAAGGAGGCTGAAAATGTAAGAGGCAAGTTGTTGTATTGAATAAAGTGGTAAAATAGGCCTCATTAAGAATTTGAAATTTGAGCAAATACTTGAAGCAGATGAGGTAGGTAGTCGAGTGAACTCCTGGGGGAAGCATTTTCAGGGAACTGCTCAAACACAGACTCTTAAGGCAGGAGTGTGCCTGGCACACTTGAGAATGAGCAAAATGGCAAATTTGGCTGGGAGAAGGGCAGTAAGAGATGTGGCCATAAAGATGAGTGTGGTAGATCATGACATTGTAGGCCACTGTAAGAATGTAAGGTTTCCTGTAAATAAGGTGGAGAACCTGAGGAAGGACATGTGGTGATAAGTTATATAATCTGCCTTAAGCTTTAAAAGGATCACCCTTGCTGCTATGTTAAAAACAGATTGTAAGCAAATAAAGGCAGAAGCAGTTAGGATGCTATTACAGTATCCTGTCAAGGTGGCTCATACAGAATTGGTGGCAGTGATTATAGTTGGAGGTAGTCAACTTTCAACTGTATTTAAGATATAATATCCATTTTAAAGGTATGACCGACAGAATTTGCTGATGGATTTTATGTGTTATGTCAGAGAAGAATAGCACCTATGTTTTCTCCCTCCCTCCCTTCCTCCTTCTTTCCTCCAACTTTCTCCCCTCCCTCTCTCTCTTTTTCTAGAGCAAATTAAAAATTTGGATTTGACAACAACTATTAATATAATGGTGAAGGCTGCAATAGAGCAAGTTTCTAGGGTAGGATGGAGGAGAAAAATATGAGTTCAATTTTTGATCTGTTGACTCTGGGATGTCTTTTAGACATTCAAGTAGAGATATCTAGTGGGCAATTGGATTTCAGAATTAGGGTTGAGATTGAAATTTGAATAAGATACATAAATTAGGCAGACTTCAGTATATAGGCAGTATTTACAGCCACAGACTAGATGACATCACCAAATGGGTGAGCATGATAGGGAAGACAAGAAGCCTAGAATGGAGCTCTGTATCCCTAAAACAGAGGTCTGCTTCCCTAAAACATGAAATAGTCTGGTAGAAGAGGAAGATTAAAAAAAGAATACAGAAAAGGAGTAACCAACAAAGTAGAAGGGGAAAAGTAAAAGAGGTTAGAGTCCTGGAAGTCAGCAGGGAAAAAAATCTTATCAAAGATTAGGAAAAAAAAAACAACTATGTCAAATGCTGCAGATTGGTCAGATGAGATTGGGACTGAGAAGCAACAAAATATATTAGTGACCTTGACAAAAGCAGTTTCATTGAGCTTTGGGAGTGAAAAAATAGGTGAAGTGAGTTTAAAAGATAACAGGAGATGAACTGGAGAAAATATAGCAACTGTTTCAAGGTATTTTGCTACAAAGAGAGCAAGAAATGGAGTAAGAGCTGGCAGGGGCAGTCAGGTCAGCCTGTTTGTATGCTGTTATGAATGATCCGGCGGGAGGCACAAACTTGATGTAAAGAAAATGGAGCAACATCATAGCTTAAGCTTTAAATAGATGAAAAAGGATGGACTCTAATACACTTACTGACTGTCTAGCATTCTTCTGAGTGCCCTTCATGTTCCCATTCAATTTATCCTCATGCAGTCCTATGAGGTAGTTATTACTAGCACCATTTGACCACAGGTAAAATGCTTATTACAGGTAGCTAATCATCACAGGTAAAATGCTTATCACAGGTAGCTAATCTCAGGTAAAATGCTTATCACAGGTAGCTAATGCTGGAACAGTGGTTTGAACACAAGCGTGTTTCCTTGAGCTGAGCTGTGAAAGCCTGGACTGCAGCCTCTATTACCTAGCTGGAGCTGATTTCGCATCTGCTACCGCTTGTCTGAGACTGAGCCCAGCATGTCTATATACAGTTCACCCCCACTTAGCAGTGTGTAATTTGGTTCTATTTCTTGTTTACAAAAATAATTATCATAGTTTTGAGCCATGTTTTCCTTTTGGGATTTCACTTTTTATATTTTACTTTATCACTGCTGTTTGTTTGGAGTATGAGGGTATAGCAGTGAATTGACCAACTCTACCCTAAAGCTATATTTATTTTAAAAGAATTTTAGTGACATTTACTAAGCACAATTTAGGAGAACTGATAATTCAATTCTAAATTCTAATTCCACATATTAACATTTATTGGTAAATTCCCTTATTTTCACATTAGCATTCAACTTCTATCATTTTTATAAGGCTTCCACATTTTCTCTTTTGTTTTCTATTCTCCATATTTAACTCCATTCCAATAAAACCTGCTTGAAGTTTTTTATGTTTAGTGTCAGCATTTTAATCTTAGGGGAATGTCCTTCCTTGTCTGAGCTGACAATCTGTGTTCCAACACTTTATTCAATATTTTATTCAAAAAATAACTTTTTCTAAGAATTCTCCTTGGATTCACTCCCTGCACCACTCATATCACGTCTTTCATTTTTACAGTAGATTGTTCTCCACTGACTGACAAATTGATTTGTATCTGTACGCTAGATGCATTCAGCTTTTCTATATTCCACAAATAAGTTTTAGTCTCTTGGAGGGAAGGAATCTTGTCTATTCATTTTTTTAAAAAATCATATTCTTTCTTGGCCAGGCGCAGTGGCTCACACCTGTAATCTCAGTACTTTGGGAGGCCAAGGCGGGTGGATCGCGAGGTCAGGAGTTCAAGACCAGCCTGCCAGGTTGGTGAAATCCTGTCTCTACTAAAATTACAAAAATTAGCTGGGCGCAGTGGCGGGCTCCTGTAGTCCCAGCTAGTTGGGAGGCTGAGGAAGGAGAATTGCTTGAACTCAGGAGGCAGAGGTTGCAGTGAGCCAAGATCGCGCCATTGCACTCCAGCCTGGTGAGACTCCGACTCAAAAAAAAAAAAAATCATATTCTTTCTTAAGCAATTGTATTTTTTCTTTGGGCATAAATTTCTACTCCAAAACATATTTTAATTAATCTGTCATTCATATGTACTGGGAATAGAAATAATAAAAACTATAAAATAAGAGGTGAATTTGTTTTCCTTATAAGAAGATGGGGCAGATAAATTTCAAGAGGGAAAAAAATACTTATTTACTGCATCATTTCAATTATTCACTCATCCGTTTGTTCATTCATTCAAGAAATATTTTTTCCTAGAATTTTAGGTTCCAAATACTGTCCCAGGCACTATTCTAACAACCTGAACATCATTTTTGAACAAAATAGACTAAGCTCCCTGCTCTTATGAGTCTATGTTTGGAGCATGTGGGGAAAGCATATGACAAAATGTCAAAGTCTATCTTAATGAGGAAACTTAGAGTAAATAAAACATGTATTAGCCAAACAGAAAACATGACTTTTTTGATACATAAGATTAAGCCCTGAATTTTTGGTAAAAAGTAATGCAATCTACCTGAAAAAGAAGTGGGATGACTTCAGACAGTTACTGTGGATGGAGATCTACAAACGGGAAAAAAGGGAGCTCAGGGATGAAGGTGAAATATCACTACACTTTCACTAATGTCTGAGATACCCCAAATGCCAAATACCAAATTTGAGAGATGCTTTCAGATTAAATGGAAGACAGACCTTAGTTTTTTTATTTGAGGTACTTGGATGGCTCATTTTCTATTTGACCTGTCTATTCTTTGCTCCTTTTTTCTCTTTCTGGCCTCTTTAAAATGTGATTACTTTTTATAACTTAATCTATTTACTTATGAGCTATCTATCTACCTATTTATCTATGT
The DNA here is from genome assembly GCF_000001405.40 of Homo sapiens. Lineage (NCBI taxonomy): Eukaryota > Metazoa > Chordata > Mammalia > Primates > Hominidae > Homo > Homo sapiens. The sequence goes on along the minus strand of NC_000003.12, from coordinate 105,049,009 downwards.
AACTATCTACGTACCTATCTATCTATCTATCATTAATCTAGGCCAGTGGTTCTCAGCCTGTGGTGATTTTGTGCACCCAGGTGACATTTGGCAATATTTATATCTGGAGACCTTTTGGGTTGTCACAACTGGGTGATGCTACCGGCATCTATGAGGTAGAGGCCAGGGATCCTAATGAATGTCTTACAACGCATACAGTGGCCTCCACAACAAAGACATACCTGGCTAGCCATGTTAATAGCACCAAGGTTGAGAAATTCTGCTTTTAGGTTTAAAATCTAGATCTTAAATTTATGAGTGTACTTTCAAATATTAATATAACCTTTCAAGTAATAGTGAGACTTTCCCAGCATTCCTGCTCCTTCTGTGATGATAAACAACCCATTCCTCTAATGCAAATATGGTCTCAGCCTCTTCTCTGCTCCCCTGTGGCAATGAACTGTGCCTGTATCAGTGCAGGATTCTGAGTATGTTTCAGCATCCTGCCCCTCTGCTAGTGACAGAGGTTTTTGCCCTTGTTAATACAAATCTAATCTACTGGCAGGTGAACTTGCCCGGTTCAGGGCAAGTACTGGTGGGTGAGAGGATTCCCACTTCTTCTCCAGTAGAAGATGGATTTTGCTATGTATCAGAAAAGGTTCCACAATGTGGGCAGATTTGATGCCTGTCCTGAAGTGGCAGCTGATCACCTGCTTATACTCATGCAGGTCCTGAAAAATCATGAATGTTGCCTCCAGAGACTGCTGCTCCACCCTCAGACCTAAGCCTACTCTCGAAGTCCACACACTTAGGTAATGGTCACATGTCTTCTGCCTTGCCACCAGTTTTTTATGAGAATCTCAGAAAGGCCTGTGAAAAGGCCTGATGAGTAGGTGAAGAACCTCCTTGTATCTTGGGTTCCCAAGTATTCTAAAAGTCACAGTACCCCACATTGAGCCTCAAATAATTCATTAAATTTCAATTGTGTTCTTCTCACCTGCTTTTATGGAGGCTGACTCTTACTCTCTTGCTGTCTTGCTTAGCAGAAAATTAAATTATGTTCTACCTTTTCTCCAAGGTGCTTGTTTTCTTTGAAAATACAGTTTACCCAGTCTCTTTGTGTCTTCTACTATCTAAAAGGCCCCCAAAATTATGATTTTGTAAGCTATTCACCTTTTTCTCATTGTTAGAGTTCTAGGTGCTTACTCAGCATCAAAATTAATACAGCATTGAACTATGTAAAAGAAACAGGACATAGATAGTCTAATCTACTCAGCCAATACTCACAACCTATGGCAAAATATCTTTGTACTCATACATATAAACCAGAAGCTAACCAACACAACACTCACCTTTTCTATGTGCTTTCTTTTGTTTCATCCCTATTCTAGTTTATTGAATATAGCTCATATAAGATGTTGATTTCTTACTGATACATTGATTTCCCTACCCACAAATTAACAAAACCATATTTAAAAAACAGTTCCCTGGACTATATTCCTGGAAGTGATATTGTTGTTTCAAAACTATACACATTTATAATGCCTCTTTTTTATTAGACAGTTAACAAATGTTTATTAAATTTTATTAAAAGACAGACATTATGAGATGCCTGGCCTCCTTACTAAAATAATGACAAGGGGAATGTGAGGAAAAGGACTAAGTACATGGGGAAGTGCTAAGATTGATGCGTAAACATGGAGAATATATATATGTATGTGCATCTATATATGTATATATGTAACTCATGCATGTAACAATTAAAGACAACTAGAAATATATAATATAATTAGTAAATTTCTCTCTTCTTTCGCTTTTCCTGTCTCACTCGTCAAAGATAATTATTTTCATGGCTTTAATGTTTTCCTGTTTCCTTCTTAAAATTTCATATGTGTGTTTGAGAAAAGGCAAATATCCCTATGTTGCAGATAGTATCAAGTACTTGCCTTATCCTATACTGTTTTTATAACATACCTTTGTTTCCTGCAGTTAATTCATATTGACAAGCAATTCATATTTTAAACTTCTGCCTAATATATAATATTTCTATAAATCCTATAAACATTTTCTTATTAATGAGTATATTTTCAGATTTTACTATTTATATACAATGCTACAATCAACATTACATTAGTGTATATTGAGTCCATATTTTTGTCTTTCTATCAGATAAATTTCAAATAGTGGAATTACCAGATAAAAAAGCATATAATTGTTATATTTTGATATTGGCATATTGCCTCTCTGATTGTATGTGAGAATATACTTTATTACTCAGGTCTTCATTGTATCTTTAGTATTGTACTACATTGTTTTGCTGGGGTGAATCACTCGTATTTGTATTTATTATTCTTTGAATGTATGGCTTACATCTATGTAATAATACTAATATTTTATTTTTGTGTGTGTGTGAGAGAGAAGGGGGGGAGAGAGAGAGAGAGAGACATTTATCAATACTTCATGGAAGACTAAGCTGTAATGTTACTTTTTGGGGTCACACTTTGGTATCAATTCTTTTTTTTTTTTTTTTTTTTGAGACAGAGTCTCACTCTGCCGCCCAGGCTGGAGTGCAGTGGTGCAATCTTGGCTCACTGTAAGCTCTGCCTCCCGGGTTCATGCCATTCTCCTGCCTCAGCCTCCCACGTAGCTGGGACTACAGGTACCCACCACCACTCCTGGCTATTTTTTTTTATTTTTAGTAGAGACAGGGTTTCACCATATTAGCCAGGATGGTCTTGATCTCCTGACCTCGTGATCCGCCCACCTCAGCCTCCTAAACTGCTGGGATTGTGTCTGGAATTGGTTCCTTCCAGTGGGTTCTTGGTCTCGCTGACTTCAAGAATGAAGCCGCAGACCTTCACGGTGAGTGTTACAGCTCTTAACGATGGTGTGTCCGGAGTTTCTTCCTTCTGGTGGGTTCGTGGTCTCGCTTACTTGAGGAATGAAGCCGCAGACCCTCATAGGGAGTGTTACAGCTCATAAAGGTAGTGCAGACCAAAAGAGTGAGCAGCAGCAAGATTTATTGTGAAGAGCAAAAGAACAAAGCTTCCACAGCATGGAAGGGGACCCGAGCAGGTTGCTGCTGCTGGATTGGGTGGCCAGTTTATATCACTTATTTGGCCCTGCCCATATCCTGATGATTGGCCCATTTTACAGAGCACTGATTGGTGCATTTACAATCCTTTAGCTAGACAGAAAAGTTCTCCAAGTCCCCACTCAACCCAGGAAGTCCAGCTGGCTTCACCTCTCAGGATTACAGGCATGAGCCACCGCACCCAGCCGGTATCACTATTTAAGCCAATATTGAAATCAATTTTGGCATCAAAATTTCTGAAATTTCAAATTTCAGAAATTTCAAGATTTTTATCATTTTATTATTTTCTATGTTAGATGTTTTAGATATATGTTACTATTTAACAAATCACCTAAAAATGTAGTGGCTTAAAACAACAATTTATGGCTGGGCGCGGTGGCTCATGCCTGTAATCCCAGCACTTTGGGAGGCCGAGGTGGGTGGATCATGAGGTCAGGAGTTTGAGACCATCCTGGCTTACACGGTGAAACGCTGCCTCTACTAAAAATACAAAAAATTAGCCGGGCGTGGTGGCAGGCACCTGTAGTCCCAGCTACTCAGGAGGCAGGAGAATGGCGTGAACCCGGGAGGTGGAGCTTGCAGTAAGTCGAGATCATGCCACTGCACTCCAGCCTGGGCAAAAGTGCGAGACTCTGTCTTACCAAAAAAAAAAAAAAAAAAAAAAAAAAAAAATATATATATATATATATATATATATATATATATATATATATATATATATATAAAATGTCTAATAATACCGTGGGTTGACTGGTCTGAAAAGGAAAGTTCTTCTCCTGGGCAGTTTAGATGTTATTAGTATTTTGCAGGGTGTCAATTTAAATTTGTTGAAAGAAAATAATTAGATACTTTAAAGGTATTAGTATAAAAAAATAAAGTGGCATAAAAATTAATATGGAGAAAGAAATTAATGAAAAAGAGGACTTTTGATGAAAAACTTAATGATCAAATATTTTTAAATGATCTTTCTACAAGTGATTGTTTTTTGCTTATGTTAATAAGAATAAGTAATTGAAACTGCTCTCATTGACAACATATTTCGTATGAGGTTCCTTTAGAACAGTTTGATTGCAGTGGTGATAACTGGCCATAACGTTTCTTACGTTTCCCTCCCTAAGTGCCTCAATATAATTCTCTCTATTTAGTTATTATGTATCACCTACTGTCTTCACTCCAAAGCACTCTGTGGACAGATCACATTCAATCAAATGTAAGCTAGGAAATGCAGCTCTGTTGACTAAGCTGATTCTGAAATTTCTCTCTAGGGTACAACCTTAAAACACAACCTGAAACGACATTTTGCTATTTAATTCATCAGCAGAAAAGTAGTTACACTGAGATGAAATAAAGTTCGGACTGCCTAGGTTTAACATGGCGACTCACTGTTGATAGTGATCAGAATTTGGGTTACTCAAACGATCTTTCAAATAAGGAAACAAAGAATTAATGTTGTCAACTAATGTCATGAATTATAATTGTGAACATATATTCTGATATTATGGAAGGAACTTATGTTTAGTGGTTATAGGGTAGAGAAAGGGGGGAAGTCAACATTGGTACAGTTGGGTTTGACCTTTCTCTGGGGAACACAGTTGGAAACTGAAATCAGGCCATTTGGTATTTGCATCAGTAGAGTAACCTCTTCAATGCCCAGTCAGTGCTATTAATGTTGCTCTTTGGAACTGCATTACTCCACCTAGTGAGTCTTCCCGCCAGCTTAATCATGAGCCCATTGTCCTGACTTCTGCCCTCATCACTTCCACAGTATTCACATAGCTTTGGAAGCTTCCGATATTGGGAAAGTTGAGGCAATTTGTCATTAGTTTCTTCTGTTTCCAAATGTTCAGCACTGAGTTTAATTGTGCAGAGGAGGTAGTTTTAATATTTAGTGATAACTACCATCAGCACTGTTCTGTAATCTCTTTCTGTTTATTTGCCTCTCCTGTGCTATTAATAAACTTCATACCTTGCAAACAAACTATTAATTTAGTTGCCACCTTAGCAGCATGAATTAAAAAAAAGAGAAAAAGAGAGAAAGACAACCCCTGTGTTCTACATTTTGAGAAATAGATCTTTAATCCTTTAAGGTTTAGTTATATGATCAATACCTGGGGATAGAAAAACACCACTGCTCAACTGATAGCTTGCTTCTTTCCTCTGACTTTGTACTTTGTTATAGACAAATGGCTTAACTGTATATGATTCTTCATCCTAGACCATCTAAGCCTGCCAAAAGTATAAGCCATAAAAATAGAGTGTGACGGGGACTTGAGAGGATTACGTCTTGTTCCCACAGAGACATGATTAAAAAAAAAGTATATAGATATGCTTTGCATATATAGAAATATACATGTGTTTCTATATGTAGAAATTTATTATATGGAGAATTATTTATATATGTAATATTTTTATATATATTCTATACATATAGAAAGGAGGAGAGAGAAAGAAGAAAATGATAAGATGGTGAGATTCCATAATCTGTTTTCTGAAGTTCTACTGGGTGTAACAGAAACCGTTTAAAACCTAATGAAAATTTATTTGAACATGAGGCTGAATTTATCATCACCCTTTCTGGTTCTGTTTCCTTAGAGTTGTTCATTCCTGTTTTCTAGTTCAAATGTTAGGGGTATCAAACATGCCCTCTTGGTTCTTATGGGGTTGAGAGAGAAATGTGGATGTGGACTAAGAACACTCAACATGGACAATTTTTATGTTCACCTTACCCTGTTTGTTGCTCAAACATTTAAATATTGTACTTTTTATGCCTCCAATATATTCCCCTTTTTAGGGTAATTAAGTTAAATTATTATGAGTTCTCCACAACTGTGTTGTACCTTTGGAAAAATACTTCATTCTAGGTACCTTATTCACTAGAACCTCAATTTTGATTCTGTCCAATAATGTGTCCCACTGTTGTAATCTAAATCAGTTAGCTGAGAATAGCAAAAACATGATGCATCATACAATATTGAAATTTAATAATTAAAACGTGAAAATACATTTTTTTAGGTTCAAGAGACTCTAAAATCCCATTAGGAAACTTTCTATTGTCTGACTAATGATGTATAAGAACAGTAAGAGTCACGGGTGGTGGTTCCTCCTGGAAGAAATCAATTACTGTCTCATTCACTCTCTCCCTACGGGAATAGAATGAATGGCAATACAATTCCAGTTGGCATAACACCTTGCAAAATGCCTCCTTTTCCTGGCTAACATTTGAAAATGTTTCAAATAAAAGAAGGTACTTACTCTGTTTATATATTCCTTTCTCTCTTCTTCCATTTTTTTCACTGGATCACAGAAGCAATGCAAATTATGCAGGATTCATATAATTCAGCTATGTACTTTGAAATATTTAATTTACCTTCAGGATAAGAATGTCAGAAACATTTAAATTATTTTTTCTATCTAATTTAAAATCCAACAAAATAACTCTGAAGTAGATTTAACTTTTTTTTTTTTTTTTTTTTGAGACAGAGTCTCGCTCTGTCACCCAGGCTGGAGTTCAGTGGCGTGATCTTGGCTCACTGCAAGCTCCACCTCCCGGGCTCACACCATTCTCCTGTCTCAGCCTCCTGAGTAGCTGGGACTACAGGTGCCCACCACCATGCCCGGCTAATTTTTTGTAGTTTTAGTAGAGACGGGGTTTCACCGTGTTAGCCAGAATGCTCTCGATCTCCTGACTTCGTGATCTGCCTGCCTCAGCCTCCTAAATTGCTGGGATTACAGGCGTGAGCCACCGTGCTCAGCTAATTTAACATTTTCTTTTAACTGTGTGAAAAAGTTGATCACTAGCTAATGGCATGGCATAGAAAGAGATGACAAATTTATACCTCTTATTCTTTCATTATTGCATCAGCCAACAACTTGTTTCCCTCAGACTCAGCCATAGGCTGAAGCTGTAACCCTCTTAAACGTGAAAAAGCATAAATAACCTAGGAATAATGTGTTTTGGCACAAATAATCCTAAAACAATAGTGGGGATAGGCATTAAAGATTAACTTGTCATGCATGTCATTCGATGTAGGTCCAATTCAAGCAAGCTATCACCTACTTATCCCTGGCCAAAAATGTCTGTGTCCATTCTGAAGAAATTATGCTCCCCTAAAGCCATGAACCTTCTCACTAAACTTCGTGTGGTATTCAAACCAATCCAAGTGAAGATAAAACATGAAAAGGACTTTATATGCTAGATAAAGAAATGAATAAAGAAGATTTGTAACTCAAAAATTTCCGAAGATTAGGTAAATTGGAGACTAACTACATTGCTGAGTAAAGTCATGCAAACTCAATTATAGTAAATGAGATTGCTCCGGGCCACCAATTTGAAGCCTCTGGAGATTAGATCAGTATTTTTAAGGTACCATCTTAGTCTTTTCAGGCTACTGTAACAGAATACCATAGACTAGATGGCTTGTACACAGCAGACATTTATTTCTCACAGTTCTGGAGGCTGAGAAGCCCACGATCATGTCACTGGCAGATTCGGTGTCATTTTCTAGTCCATAAACAATTGCCTTCTTGCTGTGCCCTTTCATGGCAGAAGGGGCAAAGGAGCTTTCTGGGGTCTCTTTAAAATAAGGGTATTAACTCATTCATAAAGGCTCCACCTTCATAACCTGAGCACCTCCCAAGAACCTCACGTCCATACATCATCACCTTGGGAATTCGGTTTCAGCATATGAATTTTGAGGGAACATAAACATTTGGTCCATTGCAGATACACTCTAAGAAACCCTCATTTTAGAGGAGTCCCCCTAAAGGAAAAAAAGTTCCATAGTCATTTGTGTTGGAGAAACTACACATGTATCTCCCCTTTGCAGATTGTAATGTACATCAACTCACTGAAGCGGTAGTCTCCAAATGGGGTATGTTCATATCATAGTGTACAAAGATGATTCAGTAGCAGGTAGGAAAGAACCATGAGAAAGTTTCCTTGTAAATTTATTTTCATAACCTTTTAAATTTTTTTATTTTTGTATATTTAAAAATGTATATAACATTAACACTATAGTTCAGTTATTTATGTATAAATGCATGCATATGTATTGGAGGTATGTGCTCAACATTGTTATTGATGGAGTGTATGAAGAAACAATTTTCAGAATTCTTCATTAAAAGATCTTAAAATTTTTGCAATAAAGCAATATTACTTTGAACTTACATCACTGTGGGCAACTTTTTGTGTATGTATGTATCATCAATTGTGATCCAATGAAACACTTTGGAAAGCGATGCTTTAGAAGCTAGATGCTTATTTTCCAGACATTTTTGCCTGCATTTCCTGGATCTGCTAAAGGGGAATGAAAATGACTTAAATTTTGGTGTGTAGTTTGAAAATTCAATTATTCTTGGGAACACTTGATCAGAGAGTACAGAACTAAAGCAAAGGTATTAATAATTTGGATTCTTACCTTACTTGCAAGTTAGCCTGCCACACTTTAATACATGCTGATAGAAGTTATGAAATCCTTAGGTCAGAGATAAATGGGTCAGCCTAAGTGGTAGCCAGAGTATCAGCATTTCTGTTTTGGCCAGTTTCCTAAGCCCTAGTTCCCACAGGGAGATGGGAAGAGGGCTAGATGAAACCTGCTCAAGTCATGAACTGCTTACAGGAGGGAAGGTGTGAGCTTCGAAAACCTGAATATTTTATAATGGGCAAGAAGCATGCTTCCTGTTTGCTTCAGATAAAGGCCTTATCTCTAGTTTCCATGGCAGTTCACAATGCAAATATCCTTGAAAAGAGTCTGGAATTAAAGGCAGTCAGTGCCTCTCTGGCAAGATGACAAGATATGCAGAAACATGAGATTCATAGAGAAATGTCTCCCACTTAAACTGTAATAATGATTTGGTTTTACAAAGAGTAAGCCATCATACCTTACAACTAGCTGAATGATCCCTTTCAGACACTTGCACACAGGACCATGTTTATGGTCCTTTGCAAACACATAGAGCTCTATGCTCAGAACCCCCTCACCTCCACCCCACACTGTAGCTTAATGGTCTGTGGTTATCTGTGGTTGCTTCCTTCAAATTCTTAATGTTATCTTAGAACTCATATTTTGTATGAAGTCTAATGGGATAACAGAGCAGATGCCAAGCACTTGGAGTCTTGGATTTTGTGTGGTCCTGCCTCTTGACACCTCCTTGCCTTTTAGGGTCTAGGCCATCTGCTACCCTTGACACTTCACCCTGCCCAGCCTCCCTTTCTGTTTTCCATCCAAGGAAGTCTGTCACTCTTTGTCCGGAGCAGTGACTGGATTGTGTGAGTTGGGGGAGGCACCCCATTCACTGTTGACCTTCTCCTCTTGGGTTGGATGTGGTGGGAGTTTTTTACTCTGAGCTGGCAGTTGCAAATGCATATAGGCCCGGTAAAGATCACATATGGGTGGGAGAAAGCCTCTAACCCACCTTTGATCCAGGTACCAAGTACATCCTGGCATATATTGGAGTTTAAGGACCCTGGGTATGGCCCATTTACCATGGTTGGAGCAGCAGGCCTGTGGGAAGGAGAGACAACTGATTTGACTTCCCTAGAGCCCACTTCATCCACAAGGCCCTATGTTAGTCTAGCAGCTGGCAGGAATGGGACCCCAACATGCTGTGAGACACAGGGTGGAGGCCCCAGGCACATACAAGAGTCTTCCCTTGCCCTGTGAGTGTCTTAGTTCCGAAAGGAGCACTCCTCCTGCTGGCTACATGCCTTGCAGAGCCCATTCTTCTGACTTACAACCTTCCTGAATCTAGTATGCGGTGTTTATTCTAGCTAGTTTGAAGCACCCTCTGAGTACTAGCTGTGGAATACAAATTGTGTAATTTTGATTTTCTTTAAATAATTTAGTGCTCTTATATTCCCAGTTAAAAAGGCATTGTAACAATGAGTGCTTAAATTTATGCTAAGAATTTAATATTGTAACTTTCCTTTGCTTAGAGCAATATTAAATAACAAATAAAACACATGATAGAAAGTTGAGAGACAACAGAAGAAAAAATTTCTTTTAATACTTTATATACTTTTTCCCTGCATTTTCAGCAAGGGATCCTGCATTTTCATTTTGCACTTAACCTCTGCAATTTATGCTGCTACTTTGCTCACTCAAGGTATTTCTGCTTCACCTCACTCCATGCCCTTCACTTCAGAATGCACTGAATTTGGAAACTATTAGAGAAAATATCCATATTCTGTATCTGAACCATGCTCTGTTCTTTCTACTATTTACAATGGAAAAAGAGTTCCTGCTTTTATCCTGCACCAACCTATCACCTTGTATTCTGCACACTGTACTCTTAGACTTATTAGGGACCTCCCACTAGCAATCATTCTCTCGCTCTCCTGAATCATCACACCTTCATTATTTTCATCTCTTCCACATGATTCCCATGTATATACAAATGTGCTGCAGTATTATGCTTTTTTAAACTTTAACATTATACAAACAACAACAATCACATACACAACAAGGAAATCTCTTGATCTTTCAACCCAGCTGTAGCTGCCTTCCCACTTCTCTGTTGTCATTCACAGAAAAAAATCTCAAGAGTCATGCTGCACTACCCACTCTATCTTCACCTCAAATCCACTCATCTTCCCACTTCACTCCAGATATTGCCCATACATCTTCACTGAAATTATTAAATTACCAATCTCTTTAGTGCCAAAATCAATGCTCACTTAATCCCCCATCACACTTGACTTCTCAGCAGCATTTGACATAATTGACAATTCCTTTTTTTTTCTTAAAATTCTTGGTGATGGTGACTTCTGACTCTCCTCACTATTCATCTACCTTGTTGGCTATTTATTAGTTTTATTTGCTACTTCTCCTCTATTGAAACTTTGAGTGTTGGAATGGATCCAAAACCTAGTACTTATCTTTCTAATTTTTCTTTGCACACCTTTCCTAGGGTACTTCAACCCATAACTACATATAGTCCTGAGTATATAGCCACCTGCTTTATCTCAGATATCTAACAGGCATTTCAGAGTTAAGATGGTCAAAATGTAACTTTTTTTTTTTTTTAAATGGAGTCTTGCTCTGTTGCCAGGCTGGAGTGCAGTGGCACGATCTCAGTTCACTGCAACCTCCATCTCCCAGGTTCAAGCACTTCCCCTGCCTCAGCCTCCCAAGTAGCTGGGATTACAGGCAGGCGCCACCACGCACAGCTAATTTTTTTTTTTTTTTGTATTTTAGTAGAAACAGAGTTTCACCATGTTGGCCAAGATGGTCTCGATCTCCTGACCTCGTGATCCGCCCACCTCAGCCTCCCAAAGTGCTGGGATTACAGGCACGAACCACTGCGCCCGGCCCAAAATGTAACTCTTGATTGTCCTTCTGTACCCTATGCTTTGTCTTTTCAAGTTCAATAAATGATATTGTCATCTAATAAGTTTTTCAACCCCTTGTTTTATCTTCCCTTTACCTTTCCCTTGCAAGTCATCAGTTAGTACTATTTGTCAAACCTACAAGTCTAGTTGGAATCTGTTCTCTTTTCTATCTTCTCAGACATATCCCCATCTAAGCTACCAATACCTCCTGTTGGCAATAGACTCTCGTCTAGTCTCATTTCCACACTTGTCCCTCTGCAAAACTGACAATGATCTTGTTACCTGGTGTAATCCCTATGTAAATAGCTGAATTTCTACTCTGTTGTAAATTTGCTTATCATTAAGAAACAGGATACCAGCGATAAAAAGCTCCCTTTGTAACCAGATCAGCTGAGACTGCTTAGAACCAAGATAGCAGGCCAAATGACTTCAAAAGGACCTCAGACTTCATTATAATCTCATATCTATGCTAAATGACACTCCCACCAGCACCATGACAGTTGACCATTGCCATAACAATGACTGAAATAAGTCAGAAAAAGACAAAAAGGAAGGTACCACTCTAGTTCCAGGAAGTTTGCTACCCATTTCCAGAAGAGACATGAATATTCCTCCTTTTGCTTTTAATGTCCAGCCCCTTCATTAGAGAAACCCTATATTTTAACCCTCTCGCCCCTTACTAGTGAAGACATTGATTTGTGAGCCATGCTCCTCCTTCTCAATTCCATGGCCATGGAATAAAGCCTCCACTGCTTTACACTCACTTTCGATCTCATATATTGGTTTTGTAACATCAAACAGGGGAAGACTGTATCCTTTGTGAGGTAACAGCTTGTTGGTCACAATCCGAATGATTTTTTAAAAAGATAGATTATGTTAGTGTTCAAGTACCATAAGTACCATGGCTTGTAGCATCATACATTACTTGGCACCTGCCTACATTTCCAGGTTCTCCCTGTATTATTTTCCCCAGCATATTCCAGGCACGCTGACCTCCTTGTTCCTTTCACAGACCACAGAGCTCATTTTCTTGGGGACAAATACCCTAGAGCACTGGCTGTCATCTAAAAGCAGTTGGAATATAGTAATCAATATATGTTAAATGAATACATATATTATTCATCCACCCATCTATCCATTTCTTCCCTATTATGAGCATATTACGTTCCTGTTATAATTTGAGGATAAATTTTATTATTGGCATATTTGGAAAATGCCACAGTAAACTCTATAAAACACATGCATTCACATCTAATAGCCTCTGTTTTTAAAGTTGTTCATTTCATTCCCTTAAACAGAAACACTTACTTGTTACTTTAATGTTGTGGTTTGATTGTTTCCTTTAGACTATTAGTGTAATTGATTGGTAGAATCATGGTTGTGGGAAACCATATAGCTTAATGGAATTTTTGAGGACCAGGAATTAAAATTCATCCTGACTTTATGCATCTATTATTTTTGACCCTGTACACATCCTTATCTGGAGGGTAAAATTAATATAATATCTATATCAGGGATGAGCAAAATTATGAAGCAGGGTGTCATGTAGCTGTATCCTACTTCTGGTAAAATGGGGGTGGATATGAAGAGTGAAGAAACACTAGAGCATTCATATCTTCATCTACTCTTTAACATTTTGGAGATTCCATCGTATTAAAACATTTCCTCTATGTGAACTTTGCTGCTCTTCAGAGGACCATTAAATTACATAAATAAAACTACCAAATTGTCTATTGATTACAAACACCAAAAGCATAGGTAAAGAGGAGTAGATTTTTGGAACACCAGATATTTTAGAAGCTGAGAGAGCAAGGTTATGCCTGACAGTAAAGCACCGTGGCCAGAACTTTCTTTTTCTCTTTGTTGCAAAAGTTTTACAAACAAATTAAACAGTAAGACTTATTTTTCATCCTTTGTCCAGGACTTGAAAATACTTACCATAAAACAATGGTAGTGTTAGAGTAGGTAGTCAGGCAGACCTGAGCAGGGAAGGAGACGACCCCCTAACCCCCAACCAGGAATGTCAGGCGACCATCAGGTGATGATCAGTTTTTTTGTTTGTTTGTTTTGTTTTTTTGAAACAGGGTCTCCCTCTGTCACCCAGGCTGGAGTGCAGTGGTGCAAACTCTGCTTACTGCAACCTCCACCTCCCAGGTTCAAGCAATTCTCCCATCTCAGCCTCCTGAGCAGCTGGAATTACAGGCGTGCACAACCACAAACCAGCTAATTTTTATATTTTTAGTAGAGACAGGGTTTCACCACATTGGTCAGGCTGGTCTGGAACTCCCGATCTCAGGTGACCCGCCCACCTGGGCCTCCCAAAGTGTTGGGATTACAGGTGTGAGCCACCACGCCCAGCCCGTTTTTAAGCTGTCTCTCTAAAATCACAACTGGGTGCAGCTAACACCACGGAAAGGTAGTCTCCCAATGGATAGAAACACCTGAAACTGGTGATTAGCAGCCTCCCAATAAGATCTCAGGTGCTGGGAGAGTGGGCTCAAGCATGCACACTAAAAGACAAAATGGCAGAGTTTAACTGGTCTTTGACCTTCCTCTAGAAACGCTGGACTGGTAAGAGAAAAAAGCCTCAAGTGAGCCTGTGTACAACTTCATTAAACACACGGTGCATGTGGCCCCTCCTAAGAGTTGACAGGCCACTGTGCATATGGACAGCCCAACCCAAGGGAAGAATCAGGGAAGAAGAGATGTAGACTCTGGAAGAATGCCCATGTATAAAACATCAAGTCAAAGGTCAAACCGTGCACTTGAAACTCTAAAGTCACCTTTGCCCTCTTCCAACTGTACTTTACTTCTTTTCATTCCTGCTATCCTACTTTTTAATAAACTTTCACTCTCGATCTAAAACTTGTCTGGGTCTCTCCTTCTGCCTTATGCTGCTCAGTCGAATTCTTTCTTCAGGGGAGGCAAGAAATGAGGTTTCTGCAGACCTGTATGGATTCACCACCAGTACCAATAGTTCCTATAAATTATTAATGATGAAGCATTTGCATATCCAAATTTCTTCTTGTAGCAGGATAATCTCTTCTTTTCTGTGTCAGACTCCTATGTTTCAAAAACTTGAAATTAGAATTTTTAGTTGCAGGGGTAGTCTACATCTCACCATGCATACTTTTATTTTGATACCTTTGGAAATAGAATAGGATGGTATTGCTTCTTTTAAAAATCACTGAAGTGTTCAAATATGGAGATACTCTAAACACTGGCTCATTTTTACCACCTATATACCCCTTTGACTATATTCTTGAGTAACCAACCCAATAGTTCCATAGACTGTTTTTTTGTTTGTTTGTTTGTTTTTTATAAACAGAGAAGTTGATCCTTCTGGTCTTAAAGCTTGAAACTTACATTTGCTTTACCTGTTTCTTCCTCAGGAAAGGAGCCCCAGGCCTCTCAAAAAGTATGAAAGAACTGGAATTCACCAGATCATCACATCCAGACAATGAGACACCAGGCCCCTCATTCATCATGATGGCTTCTTTACCCCTATGGAGTTCCTGTTTTCCCTTAGATAGTTACATTTCTTCCCTGCTATATAAACCCCTAATTTTAGTCAATCCCGAAGACGGATTTGAGCTTCAGCTCCCATCTCCTTGGCTGCAGACCTGATTAAAGCCTTCTTCCGTGGCAGTACTTGTCATCTCAGTCATTGACTTTCTGTGCAGCAAGCAGCAGGACCTAGATGCAACCTGTGGTGTTTCAGTAACACGTGTAGTAACTAACATTGTCTGACATGCTCATTACATGTCTTTTTCTAATCCCAGTTTTGCTATCTCCTCAATTTTCAATTGGAGATTATACCGCATGAGGTAATCTGTTTTGTAAAAAACAAAAAGCTATTGGACTCTATCCACATGTGCATAATTTTTCACCCTAGAATTAGATCTTCCATACTTACTTGAAATAATCATATATATTAGTGTAAACAGCAGATTTAAAAAGAGATTAGGCTTAGGTTCCGTAAACAGTAAATGGTTAATACGATTTTTCAAAATTGCTTTTTACAAGTGAATCACTGGTTCAAACATAGGATAAGTTAGAAATAAACAAAATTATTACCCTCTGAAAGTTAACTGGTGATTTGGGTTCAGTTCCTAGTTTCCCCTGTACTAGTGTCCAGCCTCAACAATTAGATTTAATTTAGCACGGCTGATGGGAGCCTTCTCTGAAAGGGTTGCATAAATGGTTTCTGGGGTCAAGTAATAAAAATTCCTCCTAACTCAGGGGTGAAGTGCTGCTGAAAACTGGAACTCTTGATAATTTTATGACCTCAGTTCAATTCAGTTAGATAAAGTAAATACTTCTGTAGCAATCACACACAAAGTACACAGAAATTAATAACTGAAGAAATACTATTCTGAGAACATTGACACATAGGCACACCTCAGCTTTTTTTTTGTTTTTAGGATGCTATTGCCTTCAATTTACAGTGGTAAAACTATAACCATGCTTACCCAAATTTCCCTCCCCACAGGGTAGGTGCTGCAGTTTAATTTAATTAGGGAGAAGTGATTCTTACTTGGGTATTGGTATATTAATGACCATTCTTAAAAGCTACCAGGGTCAAGTAATTCTTTGACAAAACATACCTATTTGTATTTATCATATTTGAACAGAGATAACTTGGAAACACTCAATAAGCAGAATGGTAAAGAAATTTCAAATTTTTAATATGAAATCAAACATTTTTCATTTAAGCGTGAACACCACTGTTGCTAAACATACTCTATGGGTTGAATTTTCCCAGAAACACCTGGTAACTCTCTTTCCTTTCCCTTTTGCCTCTTTAAGTAGGTGTTAATCATTTGCCAGATCTGTGTTCCAGCCTATCTATGGTTCAGAGTCAATATTCATAATACATGGCGGTGGTGGTGGTGTGTGTGTGTATGTGCGCACGTGCATGTGTTTGTGAGTCTTTGTTGATTCTACTGAGTTGATGTTTTTTTAACAATGTCTTTGTCCAGAATATGTACGTATTAGAGTTCCTCAGATAACCTTCTACAACTTAAATTCAAACTGCAATCACTCCAAACTTGCTGACCTATTTGCAAATCTTTACACATATCTTTGCATATCTATTTTCTCATTTTCTTTCTTCTCTTCTCATACTACTATTTTTCACTTCTCCATATCTAATTTTTCTTCAGTTGTTTATATCTGTATTAGGGTTTAAACCCTGAGGTTTGTTCTTTCCCATTCTCTGAACAAAGAGAGAGATTCATTCAAAATTTGGAGAAAACCCATCACTGAAGCAGTAAACATCTGGCTTTGGGCAGTATTGCTACAGAGCACGATTGTAAAACACATACTGTTTTCTGACACTTTTTCTTTTATTTGCTTCTTTCTTTTGTTTGTTTTTTTAGTTCCTTAATTTAAAAATAAATATGTTAATTATAGAAGAAATTAAATATAAAAAGTATAAGTGAGAAAAATCAAAGTCATCCATATGCTTAACTCCTAGAAAGAGCCTGTTAACTTTCTGCTAAATTGCCTTCTGATCTTTTTCTAGTGTACGTGAAGGCTAGTTTGTATATATATGAATATATTTAAATAAAATGCATTTGCATATACATGTACTTATACATACATTCACGTATATTTGCATACTTGGGATCATAGTGTATATATTTCTTTATCCAATTTCTTACTTATTATATTGTGAATAATTCCCATGCCATTTAACCTTCTTTTTCTTTTTTTTTTTTGGTTTTTTTTTTTTTTGAGACGGAGTCTCACTCTGTTGCCCAGGCTGGAAAGCAGTGCCATCTCAGCTCACTGCAACTTTCGCCTGCCATGTTCGAGCGATTCTGCTGCCTCAGCCTCCTGAGTAGCTGGGATTACAGGCACGTGCCACCACGCTTGGCTAATTTTTTTGTATTTTTAGTAGAGACAGTGTTTCACCGTATTAGCAAGGATGGTCTCGATCTCCTGACTTCATGATCCACCCGCCTTAGCCTCCCAAGTGCTGGGATTACAGGCGTGAGCCACCATGCCCGGTCCATTTAACCTTCTTTATAAGTTTATTTAAAAAAACTTTTTTACTACAAGATATAACATGTTAATTGCTGAAACATGGTAATTATGGACAAGTAAGTGTAAAGGAATAAATTCAGCAGTCTCACTGTCTAGAGATACCCTTCACTGTTAACATTTTCATCTATTTCCCTCTAGATTTTTGTGTATATATTATATATGTTTTTTATATATGTGTTTTAAAAGTAAACACTAGTATCATATTGTACAAACTATTTTGTAACCAAACTTTAAATGTAATGTATTTTAAATATTTTCTCACATAATTTTTATGTAAATTCCTATTTAAATAACTGCATAATAATCCAGTTCTTCATTTTTGAGCTTTTCTGGCAACCTTGCCAAGGTCACCATGATTAGATCTTCTATTTATTCACTGGCAGAAATACCATTTTGCAGATCTTAACATTTGCTCTTCATTGTAAATTTTGTGATGTCCAGAAGAAAAAGGGGGGAAAAATTTAGAATATATTTCTACTTTTCCTCTTTTCTATTTGGAATTCAGTGTTGTATTACAAAATCTTCTTGTCGCTATTTGTCTTGCAGTATTTATTGAGTCATAAGGGTATTAAATTATTTATAGGTTCGTAGTTGATATTGATTAAATATTGTAATTTTATCCCTTTCCCTATAGATGCTACTCCTATGTGTAGAGGTTTGGAGACACTAAAAACGACAACAGAGTTGATTGAGAAATTGTAGCAAAGTGATACAGGACAGGCAAGACCCCAAATTGAGGCTTAGCTTGGGAGGTTTCTTGGGTAAACCAGGAAAGAATTCAAGGGTGGGTCAGTGGTCTTCAACAGCAATTTTTGTTGAAGCAGTAGTGTACAGTAGCGGCAGAGGTACTGCTCCATGTGGACCAGGGCTACCCTATAGGCAGTGTGCTCAAGAGTAGCAGATCAGAGGCAGTTCTGCACAAATATTTATACCCACTTTTAATTATATGCAAATTAAGGGGTGGCTTATGCAGAAGTTTCTAGAATGAGGGTGGTAACTTCCATGTTGTCAGGCCAATGCCATGGAAAGTTGCCATGGCAATGGTAAACTGACATGGCACACTGGTGGGTGTGTCTTATGGAGATGATGCTTCTGCCCCAGACCTGTTGTTGCTAGACCTCAATTTGTTCTGATTTCCAAGTCCCACCTCCAGAGTCAAGTCCCACCTCCTATCTCAAAAGCATAGTGTGGATTGTGTGTTTAGAGGGAGCTGAGTTGCTAAGAAAATCGTAACACTGTTCTTGAACTTTAGGTTCAAGTGTTTCAAGTGGAATTAATCTATTAATGCAATAGGGAAGCTATGGAGAGGAGTAGCTGGTGGGAGGTTGGAGTAGGAGTGGGAAGAACACTTAACAAGGAGTGGTGCAGCACCCTGGGAACGTAATGATGGGTTATTATAACCTATAAGACTGGCCCTTGAAAGAAGTGGTAGTCCAGTGTTGTAGCAGAGACAGATCTAGGCTTCATGGAGATTAAATCGTCATTTTGTGTGTCCTTATTAAGAAAAAAGATGATAAAATTCTGATTGTAAAATTGAGTAGGAAAGTGAATATGCATTTAAAATGTGAAACCATAACAACTTGCAAATTAAAAAATGCTAAAATATACTGCATCACAAAATCCAGAATAACCTAATATATTTATTAATTAAAGACCTAACAGACATCTATAATCATTTTCCTGCATTTTTGGCAGCATACTCTTTGATTGCTTTTTTATATGATAAATATTGTTGTACTATCATCTTCTGTGGAGAATAGAAAGATAATTAAGTCTTTCCTCTAGCAAGGTTGATCTGAAATTGTTCTTTATTATTGATAGTTTAGAAAAGTTTATTTCTGCTTCATAATTTATTACTGATAATGTAAGGTAATATTTCAGAATTGTTATCAAATATGAGAAAAGCTCATGGAATTATCTTTCAAGTGTGAACAGAGAATTAAGAGTTTCTTTTGTGCAATGGGTAATCTTAAATACTCCTTAAATTCATGACATTCATAAACCATTCTGACCTTAGTGTCACCAGTGTTCTTGTTGTGGTATATTATGTTACCATCACTGATACAAATTTTCAGATTAAATCAGCAAGAAATTGAAATCTTTGTCCAATAGTTCATTTTTTATTATTTAGATTACTTGTAAAAATCCTCAAATCTATTTATTATTTCTATTTGAAATTTCCATCTTCCACTTAGTGATTACTTTGGTATAATATAAATTTGGTATAATATAAATTTTTTATTGTTAAGTTCACATTCCAAAGTTAGAATACTTTTTGCACATTTTCTTTGATTTCACTGGGAAGAACATTTATATGCAGCAGATGCAAAGATCTTAACTGGACAGTTCAGAGTTTTGACAAACATATATCCATTTAATCAACATTCTAATTGAGATATAGGTAATTCCATGAACCCAGGAATTTCCCTTCTGAGCCTTTCTTGTCAGTCTCAACCCCTAGCCCTAAATGTTTGTAGGCAAACATTTGGCTTATTTCTGACATTCATGGATTAGTTTTTCCTATTTGTGCTTCATGTAGTTACATTATACAATATTTTCTCTTTTGCTCCTGATTTCTTTTACTCATAATACTGTTTTTGAGAGTCATTCATGTTCTCACATATAACAAAAATTCATTCCTTTTGTTAAATGGTGAGTAGAATTCCACTGTATAGATCAACTTGTTTAACTCTCTTCTTTTGCTACAAATGCAGAATCTTCACAAATGTAGTCAAAATAGCTTGTATCTGAAATATGAGCTAGTTTGACTACATTTATAAAATTTTTCCAGCACTATTTGTTGAAAAAATATTCCCCATTAAATGGACTTTCTGTCTTTTAGATAAGCAACCATTATTTGAACAATTTGTCACCTGTCCAGTTTCACGCTGTCTTGATTATTGTAGATTATGACCAGAGCGGCTAGAAAGATTTTGGTACTAATATTTTTGTGCACATATTTTAAATTTCCCTTTGGTAAATGGGTGGAATTCTGTATCATAAGGTAAGCATTTATAAGTTTAGGGATAAGAAAATACCAACAATATTTCAAAATGATTGTACCATTTTTCATCTTTTATGAGTACTGACTATTTGTCCATCTTAAATTTTTCATTTTAGTCAGTGAAACTCTTTGTGTTTTATATGCATTTCTCTTATCCCAAACGATTTTTATTTCCCTGAAGGTTAATGACACTGGGGACATTTTAATATAATTTTAAAAATTAATTTCTGGATCTTCCTTTTTGAAGTATCTGTTTAAATCTTTCGCACATTATTTTTGCATCTTTATATTGTTGTTGATTCGTAAAAGTTCTTTAAACATTTTGGATACAACTTCTTTCTCAGTATACATATTGAACATATAGTTTTCCCAGTTTCTGACTTACTTTTCATTTTTGTAATGATGAATTTTGAAGAGGAAAGCTTCTAGTTTTGATGAAATTCAATTGATGATTATCTTATCTTTAACCTAATATACTGTCTTGTGTTCTTTGTAGCTTAATAGTTTTTGTTCATATAGGTTTGGGTCTGTGATTGCTGTTGAATTAATTTTTGTGTAGGGTATGAGGTAGAGGTTCAGATTAATTTTATATAATAATTTATAAAGTTACTAAATTGTTGTTTTGCTGAAAAAGTCTTTTATTTTCCCATTGAATAGTTGGTGTCTGTGTAAATCTATTTCCAAGATTTCTGTTTTGTCCCATTCATCTGTCTGTTGTACACCAGTTATACCTCATGTACACCAGTTATACCTGTTGTATGCTATCATGAGTAATAGCAAAATTTATGTTAATTTATGTGTCAACTTGACTCTTGGAAGAAATGACCAGATAGCTGGTAAAACATATTTCTGGATCAGGCATGATGGCTCATGCCTGTAATCCCAGCACTTTGGGAGCCCAAGGCAGGCAGATTACCTGAGATCAGGAGTTCAAGACTAACCTGACCAACATGGTGAAACCTCAACTCTACTAAAATACAAAAAAATAGCCGAGCATGGTAGCACACACCTGTAGTCCCAGCTACTTGAGAGGCTGAAGTGGGAGAATCACTTGAACCCAGGAAGCGAGACTGCAGTGAGCCGAGATTGTGCCACTGCACTCTAGCCTGGACAACAGAGTGAGACTCTATCTGGAAAAAAAAAATTAATTAAAAACCAACATTATTTCTGGGTGTGTCTGTCTTGGGGGTGTTTTCTGAAGAGATTAGCATTTGAATCAGTGTATAGTGTAAAAAATTTCTACCTTCACCAATGTGGAGACGTCATCCAATCTCTAGAGGGTCCAGACAGAAGAATAGGTAGAAGAAGCCTGAATTTGCTGTCTCTCCTTGAGCTGAGATAGCTTCATCTTCTCTTTCTGTTGGACATCAGACCTCCAGGTTTTCAGGCTTTTGGACTCCAGGACTTATACCGGTGTTGTCCATCACCCAGCCTCCAGGACTTATACCAGTGTTGTCTATCACCTCAGCCTTGGGCCTCAGACTGAGAATTACACCATTGACTCCTCTGGCTATCAGACTTTCAGACTCAGACTGAATTACACCAGTGGCTTTTCTGGTTCTCCAGCTTGCAGACACCCTATTTTATGACTTGTCAATCTCCACTTCCATAATAAATCTCCTCATATATTTACACACATCCTATTCGTTTTGTTTTTTTTGGAGAACCCTGACTGATACATCAAGTCACATGAGTCTTCAAATTTATTACAATTGCCTTAATTTTTTCTGAAAAAAACCTGCTGACATGTTAATTGGGATTTTAGTCCATCTAAATATCATTTAGAGGAGTATTCACAGCTTAACAACACTCAGTCTTTTTTGTTTTTTTTTTTTTTGTTGTTGTTGTTATTTGTTGTTTTTAGTTTTTGAGACGGAGTCTCGCCCTGTCACCCAGGCTGGAGTGCAGTGGCGAGATCTCGGCTCACTGCCAGCTCTGCCTCCTGAGTTCATGCCATTCTCCTGCCCCAGCCTCCCGAGTAGCTGGGACTACAGGCGCCCGTCACCACACCCGGCTAATTTTTTGTATTTTTAGTAGAGACAGGGTTTCACCGTGTTAGCCAGGATGGTCTCTATCTCCTGACCTCGTGATCCGCCCGCCTTGGCCTGCCAAAGTGCTGGGATTACAGGCGCGAGCCACCACGCCCGGCCAACAATACTCAGTCTTTTAATTAATCAACATGACACATTTCTACGCTTATTAGGTATTTGCATATATATACTTTTAGTGCATAAGTTTTCACCTTGATGTAAAATTGTTACACATGTAATATTAGAGTTATTCTATGTATTTTATGTCTTCATTGTAAATAGTAGTGTTTTAAATTTAATTTTATTTTTCAATCACTTGCTGCGATATTAGAGAAATACAAATAAATTTTTATATGGGCTTTACATCTGACAAACTTGCTATATTCACTCATTAGTCCCACTAGTATTTTGTAGATTTCTTAAAATTTTCTATGGAAACAATAAAGTCTGTTATAAAGAGAGTTTTACTTCTTCCTTTTTACCGCATTGCTAAAAATAGGTGAAGTAGGTATTTTTGTGCCTTATTCACCATTTTAGGAAAAAGCACTAATATTTCATTATTAATTATGATGTTATCTGTAAGTTTTATGTAGATGATGTTTATCAGGTCAAAGATGTTCTATTCTTAGCTGAAAATTTTTTTTAAATAATGAATTGTTATTGACTTTGTATATACTTTTTCTGCATTGATTGAGATTATCAGATAGCTTTTCTTCTTTATTCTGTTTTTGTGTACTAGGCTGAATAGAGTCCCTCTGAAGTTTATGTCCACCTGGAAGCTCAGAATGTGAACTTATTTGGAAAAAGAATCTTTGTAGATGCAAACAAGTTAAGATGAGGTCATACTAAATTCTGGTGGAGCCTAATCCAAAAACCGGTGTCCTTATAATTTAAGAAGACGGAAATCTTGACACAGCAACACATAAAGAAGAAGACCAAGACCGTATGAAAATGGAGGCAGAGATTGGTATAATGTACCTACAAGCCAAAGAATACCAACAATTGCCAGCAACCACCAGAAGCTAGGAGAAAAGCACGAGATAGAGTCTATCTTATAACCTGCAGTATTAACCACGCCTTCTGACACCTTCGTTTTGGACTTCTAGACTCCAGAACTCCAAGATAATACATTTCTGTTGTCTTAAGCCAGTCTGTTCGTGGGAAATTATGACAACTCTAGGAAACTAATGCGAACTTTGGTATCAGTTTCTTATTGTATCATTCCCATAGGTACATCTTCCTGTGAGGCAGATTCTAAGGTAGATATTTATATGCGGGATTTAAAAAAAAAATCAACATTGTAGGAGACTAAAGAAAACAGGAGTGGCCAGAGAGACACCCTGGACATTGGGCTTTGGTACGGTCACAACAAAGGAGTCATTTAATCCCACAAGCAGCTCTGGAGTAGGATGACATTTAGAATTTTCTCACATTAAGGAAGAGTCCAGGCTACATCAACTACTTAATCCTAGAAGCTTGAGCAAATGCGTTCTTCAGTCCTTAAAGAATTAGGGAATCTGAGCAGCAGCAATGCATCTAGTGAAGTCCACACTATGCACTACTTTGATTCATTTTTTTATATTATTTCTGGGAGCAATTCCTTCAAGATTCTGGTGGTACTCTTTTCCTGAGATAAATTTGTAAGAGGACTGCTAGTGGGATACATTACATCTTCTGCAGCTGCAGCTGATATTGAGACTACAATTGATACTCATGATTTATTATTTATTTATTCTGTTATCCACTCATGGTTAGTTCCTCTGAAATCAAACAATTCAGACCATAATCTGTGAGAGACTTTAGCCCCTAGTCGCCATGTTCTTCTTGGGTTGTGGCTATTGCACTTGTTCTTATATCATTTAAATGAGAGCAAAGGAATAAAAAGGAACATCCAGGTGGATCACCTAGCTACCAGTCTTAACTTTCTCACGTTGTGAAACAGCAGCCATACTTGCTCCTGATGCACAGGATCAATTGCACTTGTCATATAGTGACTGCTTTGCTTGCAAGCTGATATCTCAGCACAGAACCTAAAGTGCTCAGGTGCCAGCCATAGGTTAATATTACTTAAGCTGTGTTACCATGTCTCCAAATGGAAGTATTCTTAGTCTGGAGAGCAAGACCTCGGAAGTCACAAAGCCTTGAGTTGTAGAGTTGGAAGTGCAATCACCCAAGTGGGTCACTGAGAGTGACGGTAAATGGGGCCATTTCTGATTCCACCCTTTAATCTCTAGACCCCCAAGTCTGTTTGAGCTGCCATAACAGAACAATAT
The DNA here is from genome assembly GCF_000001405.40 of Homo sapiens. Taxonomy (NCBI): domain Eukaryota; kingdom Metazoa; phylum Chordata; class Mammalia; order Primates; family Hominidae; genus Homo; species Homo sapiens. Next base: position 105,024,249 of record NC_000003.12, on the reverse strand, counting down.
AGACTGCATGGCTTACAAACAACAGAAATCTATTTCTCATAGTTCTGGAGATTGGTAATCCCAAGAGAAAGTCAACAAAGGTTCAGTATCTGGTTAGGGCCATTTTCTGATTCATAGATTTCACCTTCCCACTGTGTACTCCTCACATGGTGGAAAGGAGCAAAGCAGCTTTATGGAACTTCTTTTATAAGGATTAATGCTGTCCAAAGAGTTATGCTCTTATGACCTAATCATCTCTGAAAGTCTTCACCTCCTGATACCATCATATTGGTGATGAGGTTTCAACATATGAATTTTGGAGGATGCACATTTAGACTATAACATTCTGCCCCAACCTCTTGAAATTACTGCCCTTCTTGCCTGTGAAATACATTTATTCCATCTTAGTAACCCCCCAAATCTTAACTTATTTTTGCATCAGTTAGCATCTAAGTCCAATGTCTCATCCAAGTATCATCTCAATCAGATATGGGTGAGACTGAAGGTATGATTCATCCAGAGGCAAATTGCTCTCCAGCTGTGAGCATGTGAAGTCAAACAAGTTATATTCTTCCAAAATACAATGGTGGGAGAGGCATAGAGTACCAGAAGAAAGAAAGAAGAAAGGAAAAAAGAGTAACAGATCCCAAGAATGTCCAAAACCCAAGTGAGCAAGTAACATAAAATTTTAAGGCTTGAGAATGTTCTTTGACTCAATGTTCCTCTTGCTGGACACACTGTGGTGGGGACTGGGCTCCCAAGGCAGCTCTACTCATGTGGCTTTGCTGGGGGCAGCTCACATTGCATGTCTTATAGGTTAGAGTTGCATGCCTGAAGCTATCCCATGCTGGAATCACACACTGGTAGCTCTGCTGGTCTGGGGTCCTGGGGAAACCCTACCCTCACAGCTCTATTAAGCTTTGTCCTGGTTGGGATTCTGTGGACCTACTCTTGCAGTGGTCCTCTGTCTAGCCCTCTGCCCTTCCCTGGTTGGCTCCATTCTTTAAAATCTAGGTGTATTCTGCAAGCCAATGAAGATGGCATCACCAGAACACTGCTAAGGTTTACCATCTATGCCTCTGAAGGGGCAATCACTATGGCCTGTACTGTACAGAACTGTGTCCTGAGTCCCCAGAACTGAAAGTGGGATGAGTAAGAACTCATGTCCACTGGGGTAGCCGAGGAGTGTTGCACCATAACTCAGGGAACAGAGCCCTATGGCAGTGTAAGGCATTGAGCCTTGAAGCCCCGTGTGTGCCCACAGCCCCTCCTTTGAAATAGTCTGTCCTCCAGGCTCTGGCCCTCTGGTCCTGTGATTGGAAGGATAGCCCTGAGAATCTAAAGAATGCCCTCAGATTCACTCTTCCATTATCTTAAACAATAGGTTCTGGCTTCTGGTTAGATGACTGTGTAATCTCTTTATCAGATGACATTTGGCCACACCACCAGGTTTCCTTCAAACATACTTTCTGATTCCTTTCAATATGGATGGGCTGTGAGTTTTCCAAATTTTAAAATTCTCCTTCCCTTTTGATTAAATTCATATGTCTTTAAATCATTTATCTCTTCTCACATTTGACCATAAGTTTCCAAGAGAAGCCAAGCTACACCTTCAACATTTTGCTTACACTTTTCTTCAGCCAAATATCCTATTTCACACCTTACATGTTCTACTTTCCACAAAACACTGGGATACAAACAATTGAGCCAAGTTTTTTGTTACTTAACAGCAAGGATTGCTTTTTCCTCTAGTTTCCAGTAATATGTTCTTCATTTCAGTCTAAGACCTCATTAGAATAGACTTTATTGTCCATATTTCTACCAACATTGTGTTCACACTCATGTAGTCTCTAAGAAGATTGAGACTTTCTCTATAGATCTACTTCTTTGCTTTTGAGCCCTCACGAGAATCATCTGTAACAGCCCATTCACCACAATGTAGGCTTTTTCTAGCATGCACCTCAAAATTCTCCCAGCCTCTACCTATTACTCAGTTTCAAAGCTGCTTCTACATTTTTAGGTATTTGTTATAGCAGCACACTCACTTCTTAATATGAAAGCATGGACTAAATCTGTCTTAGCTCATTCAGGCTGCTGTAACAAAATACTGTAGACTAGGTGGCTGACAAACAACAAAAATTTATTTCTCATAGTTCTGGAAGCTGGGATGTCCAAGATCAAGGCACTGGCAGATTCAGTGTCCACTGAGGATCCATTTCCTGGTTCATAGATGGCACTCTCTCACTGTATCCTTACATGGTGTAAAAGGGCAAAGCAGCTTTTTGGGGACTCTTTTATAAGGGCACTAACTCAATACATGATAGCTCTGTCTTCATGATCTGATCACCTCCCCTAACCCACCTTCCAATAGCATCATCTTGGTGATTAGTTTTCAATACATAAATTTGGTGGGGGTGGGACACAAAGATTTATACTATAGCAACACCTTTGCTATTGGAGACATTATACCATATAAGGATCACTGACAGGAGTACATACTACATCTTGGAGGATGGTTCTCTCCCTTTCAGGATATCATCTTCAAGCTGGTGCCTCAGTTGTGCCATCAAATTATATTCTCTAGCTTTATCAGGCCAATACTTTTGGGTGGTACTGTATGTGATAGGACAACTTGGACATTATGGTCACAATTCCACAAATCTTTGCTGTAACGTGTGCGTCTTTTATTGATATAATGTTATTAGGATCTCATGTTGTTGGATCAAATATGCTGAAAGTCTCAAATAATGGTTCGGTGAGCAGAAAAGGCAAATAAATCCATATGCAGAATATATATTGAATCTAGTCAAAATAAATCTCTTGACCCCTCCAGAACTGAATTTCAAAATACCATCAATAGGCTGGTTGGTACCTTGAGGTATAGTGTCTATCAAGGATTCAGCATTGGTCTCTGTTGCTGGCAGTTTGGGCATTAGACAATAGCAGTATCTCCTGACTTGGTGAGTACATGCCCATGACATTGGCCTCATTTGTAGCTTCCATACCTGCCACCATGCATCCATTGTGCTAGCACTAGTCGTTTCTGCCTCTTTAATGAAGAATGCTCTCTGGTGAGCATTGAAATGAGATTGAAAGATTGTCACATTTAGTGCTGATTTTAAATTTTTTATTATCTTCCTTTTTTATTATCTATCTTTTTTATTAATAATAATACAATAATTATTATTGGCCAGGCTTGGTGGCTCACGCCTGTAATCCCAGCACTTTGGGAGGCCGAGATGGGTGGATCACGAGGTCAGGAGATCGAGACCATCCTGGCTAACACGGTGAAACCCTGTCTCTACTAAAAATACAAAAAATTAGCCGGGCGTGGTGGCGGGCACCTGTAGTCCCAGCTACTCGGGAGGCTGAGGCAGGAGAATGGCGTGAACCCAGGAGGCAGAGCTTGCAGTGAGCCAAGATCGTGCCACTGCACTCCAGCCTGGGTGACAGAGCCAGACTCCATCTCAAAAATAAATAAATAAATTATAATAATAATTATTATTATTAGCTTATACCATAAAATCTCTCCTACTCTAGCAATGCAGATTTTATTTGAAAAGAACATGTGGCTGAAATGAACATCTATGGACTGGGTGTTCAGGTATTTATGGGGAATATTGGCTGACGCTGTGGTACCAACATTACTAGGGAGACAGCCTCCTACTCCTACCCATTTTGTCTTTTTGAGTCAGAGAATATGTGTTTAAATTGGGTTTCACTATGTGCCTGAGGCTCACAAAGAAAAACCTAATACATAGTGTTATTTTGTTACTTATCTCCCATCTTATCAGAAAGAATGACTATGCAGAGGGGAATAAAACGTTATGGGAACTTCATGTTTCTTTTTATTCTTTTTGCTTTTAAACTTAGCGTCAGACTGATCTTTCCATCCAACTAAGTATCATTAGCTAGTAGACAGAGTACTCCCTAGGCTTGTCATCTGGGGACCAATTATCACTAACTGTAGCTAATACAAATATTATAAATTCAACAAAATCTACTTCCAGTGAACATCCTTGTTATGTCTCTGTGTATGTGACTTTAGAAAACTAATAGCTGAAAGTTTCCTTTGTATAAATTGGAAAGGATATTAACCTTAGTGCTGAATTTATGTAATACCTTGCTGCTGAATTCATACCCTGAGTATCACAAGATTAAGGGACTGAACAATGTTCAGAAAGTAGGCAGAAGAGACCTATTTGCATATATACGATTTGATCAGAGATAGAATTTTCCTTTAGTGGAGTGCCATGCCAAGTGATTATCTCAGTCACTAGCTCAGATCTATGGGAAACCTGGTTTGATTCTTGTGTGACCGAGCCCACAGTGGCTCTTCTAAGGCTGAGCCTCAGGTACAATATGCTGCAGTAAATCTGGACCCCCTTGACAATGTTATTATCTCCCCCTCTGGTTTAATCTATGTATTTAATTTTAGTTTCCAGGGCGCAATATGGCTAATTACTGGAGAACTGCAGAACCTTACAAGTGAAATTTTTTGCTTTTATAATTTGTGGCACATCAAGTATAATAATGTACATTTAATTTCCTCAAAAAAGATAATTATGCTAATAGAATTATTTGAATAAAAATTTGTACTTTGTGCTGGATTGTGTTCTCTGTATTATATTCTTGTATTATATTAATACAAGTCAGTAAGGAATTTTATTTTTTATGTTTTTGAGACGGAGTCTCACTCTGTTGCCCAGATGGGAGTGCAATGGCACGATCTCAGTTCACTGCAACCTCTGCCTCCCAGTTCAAGCTATCCTCCTGCCTCAGCCCCCCTAGTAGCTGAGATTACAGGCATGCGCCACCATGCCGGGCTAATTTTTGTATTTTCAGTAGAGTTTTAGTCGGGGTTTTGCCATGTTGGCCAGGCTGGTCTCGAACTCCTGACCTCAGTTGATCCACCTGCCTTGGCCTCCCAAAGTGCTTTTACAGGCGTGAGCCACCGCGCCTGGCCAGGAATTTTTAATAAGCCAATTCAACCCTGAGCAAGCCTGGGAACATCATACAGACACCACCTCTTAAAACTGGGAGGAAAGAAATGTCTCATAGAACTGCAGGTCTAGTATTCCTATCAGATAAAACTTCATAGGGAATATTGTCTAGGTTTAATTGGTAACACAGACAATTTGGAAATATGGACTTTGGTGGAGGGAGTAAACAGATTTGTGGAAATCTGAGACCAAAGCCAGCTTTTTTTTTAAAAAAAATAACAGTTTTCTATTGGTTATGAAAACCAAATAAGGCTTTTTGCATGCATAAACATTTTGTGGTGAGAAGTCTTCTCTTTATTTTAACTGTTTAAGGAAGAGTCATTTTAAAAAGTTATATTCAGAATGCCAATAGGTTCTACATAGCCACAGTAGAGTATGATAGTTGAGGGAGTTTTAGATTAATACTAATAACCAAGCACCTTGGGTCTACTGCTGCCATTGTCACTTGCTTATTCTACATGAGAATTACTTTTGTTTCATTGTTTAACTTTTTAAAATAATACCATCCATTTAGGGAAACAAAAGACTTCTGAGTCACTACTAGATGCAGAGTATACAATTAATGTGCTTGAGTGGAAGGACAGTTCTAGTCACTAGTCATTGGAGTGCAAAATCTCTGTAGGGAATTGTGATTGGATTTTATTGCTGTGTTATTAAGGTAATTTGGGTTGGGCTTATGAATCCAGGCCTATCTTTGGACTTCCATGAGAAACCTTAAATAAAGGATGAGCAAATCGTATTTTTATTTTTGTTGAGTTAAACTTTCCTTTTTGATGCTGTTGTTAGTCCAGCAAAATTCAATGATTTGGCAAATGTGTACATTATGTGCCTATTGCAGGCTTACCATGTGCCAGGTGTTTTTAACTTATGGTGGACTCTATGACAGTAGAGCCAGACTGAGTGTCTGACTTCATGGAGTTATTATACATATATTATCACAAATATAAATGGCTTGCAATTAGAAATATCTATTGTTTTACTGTCCACAATTGTAATAAGCTCTTAGGGCAACATCCAAACAATACAGAACTATAAATAAACTCTTCTATTAACGCTACATCTGAAGCTCATGATTAAGAGACGTGATTGGTGGTGTAAAATCAAAAAGACTCAGCTTAAAATTGTGCCTGGGATATGAATTAATTCTATGTTCTTGACAAGTCACTTCCATTTTCTGAATCTTACTTTCATCATCTTGTAATGGAAACAGTTATAATACCTACCTAATAAGATGGCTGTGGGGACGAAATGAAATGAAATGTGTACAGAGAATGACAATGCCAAGCACATAATGTGCATTTAATAACTAGAACTGTTGTAAAAATAGCAAGTTTGTAAATAGCCTTAGTAACTCTTTCAATGTACGTATCGGTTGCATCACTGCATTTTAAAACAAATTATCTACCTCAACTCAACAGAAATAAAAAATAACTATCCTGCAATTTTTGGAAAAGCTCAAATCACTGCAATTTAAAAAATTATTCCACTATCGTGGCTCACTTAATCTGTAATTGAGGAGGTGCTTCTATGCTTCTTTAAAAGCAGACAATGTTGCTGGTGATGCTGAAAGTCTTAGTTTTCTAGAAATAGAAATAAATTGTAGAATTAGAATGGTGATAAAGCCACCTTATTTCAGAGTTAAGAAAATAGGCATAGGGATGGAAAATAATGGCTATAAAGACATTTTTATTTTAGTTTTTAAGATTTTGTGTTTTTAGAGCAGTGGTAGACTCACCTCAAAATTAAGAGGAAGGTACAGAGATTTCCCATATGCCCCTGTCCCTACACATGCACAGCCCCTTCATTATCAACATCCCAACCAAAGTGGTATATTGGTTACAACTGATGAACCTACTTTGGCACATCATCGTCACCGAAGTGATGGTCCCACTTGGAGTTGTACATTCTATGGGTCTCAAAGACTTATTTTTTTTTCCAATTATCTTTTCATAATTTAAAATTTGGAAGAAAAAATATAATTTTTCCTTAATACCTTTTAGACACATTTAATTTCACACAATTCTTTTTAAATCCACTAAAGGTAAATGCAGAAAAAGTTGAGGTAAATCTGTGGAAACACACTAAACTCTAATGACATTCTCATACCACTTGCTTGTGCTACTATGATGTTGGAAATTTGGCCTCTTGTTCATGGAAAAATTCCTGCCTTTCTTTCTTTGATGATATTTATATTTATTTATTTTTCTTCTTTTTTAACACGTGACTTCAAATAAAAATCAGTGATGGCACTAAGCCAAGATTTGAGACATTTCATAAAATTAAGACTCGTGATCTATTCTCAAAGTGTGTAGTCAAAGTCATTGTTTTCCGTTAAGGAGTTCAGTGCTCTTTAAGTCAGCAATGTTGACCTTTCATCTTGCAAGTTCACTTGTTTGCCTATATATCACATCATAAAATTAATAATAAATACTAAAGAAAGTGTTCTTATGGTTCTGGGTCTTTATGCTACAGTGCAAGCTAGTCACATTCTAGCTTACCGGAAATTCTGGGCTTTTAGTATTGTCTTTGTTTAATGAGCTCACAACAGAATTACCTGTTCTTTGGAAAACTATGTGTTTTTTTTTTAAATTAATTGTTCCTCTAAATTATCTTACCTGAGGTTACTCTGACCCTGGACAGTTAATTGTTCCTTTCTCTGTGTTCCTGTAGCACTCTGCTCATACCATTATTGTAGCATATTGTTGTATAATTATTTTTTTCATTATCTGTGTTTCCCACTACACCTGGAGCCACTTGAGAGCAGAGACATTATATCTTTTATTGTTGCTAGACTAATATTGAACTCTAGTAAAATCCAGACTAGACTTGGTGCATGGTAATATCATATACTAATACATATTTCCTGAAGTTTATTATTAAAATATATGTCTCATAATTGGTTATAATTAAGATGTTTGGTAATAAGATATCACCTATTACATTATTGAGTGCCTACTATTTGTACCATTTTGGGGCCAAATATCATAACACCACCTATACCTACACCCTCAGTTTTTATATTAGGAGGTTTTTACTCAACACAGTTTAGAAACCTGTCCAGTTTCACAAAGTTACTGAGAAATTATAATATGAAATCATAATTTTTACACTTCAAAGCCATTATTATATTATATAACCTTGTGGCCATATGTAAAGGATCTGGTCAAGGTTAGGAAAAGGGAGGCAGTGAAAGTGGAGCCTGAAACTTTCTAAAAGAACAAGGTATGTCATAAGTGCAAGAAAATAAAGTTTTACCTCTAATAGAATAGAAAAAAAGAAATTTCCTGTTTCACATCCTTAGTGACATTATTAGTCTGTTTGTGCTGCTGTAATAGAATACTTGAGACTTGGTAATTTATAAAGAACAAAAAATTATTTCCCACTGTTCTGGAGGCTGGAAAGTCCAAGAAGAAGACACTGGCATCTGGTTAGGACCTTCTTTCTCCTTCCTCACATGGCATAAGAGCAGGAAAAGAGAACTCACTCCAGAGAGCCATTTTATAGTGGCGTTAATCCATTTATGAAGGTTCTGCCCTGCATTAGGCTCCACTTTCTAACATTGTTACATTGGAGATTAAGTTTCCAATACATACATTTGGAGGAGACAAAAACATTCAAACCATAGCAGTGACTACTTACTCATCAACTGTTTACTGTGTACAACAAGTCAAATATTACACTGGGACACAGGTTAATGAGAAACTGTCTCTGATTACAAGGGAATATCACTACATTAATGGAAATGGAACAAAGTCAAATACATTTCCTGGTATAGGGATCATAAGTCTCTATGGTGTAAATATGAGACTGTGTAAAAGGGTATTAAAAAGTATGAACATTGGCATCAGAAAGACATGAATTTGAGTTCTGTTATTCAAATAACTATAAGATCCTAGGCAAGTTATAAACTACTCAGTATTAAATCCTTCAGTTGTAAAAGTGATGGAGTAAAGTAACTTATTCATGTGACTTTAAAAAATTACATCTATATTTGCATATAGAAAAGTACTTATTATTTCTTATAATTTATTGTGTACAGGTTATACTAGTTACACAATATTAAGTAGGTGCTTAGTAGGTAGACAAAACAAATAATTTTCAAAGCTGCAGTTTATGAGAAAGAAAGGAGGTGGTTTCGCTTTTCTTGATTTTTTAAAAAATAAAACAAAATAAAGATTAGGAGCTCTCTGATAAATAGCATACACAGGCTTTATAAAAGTTCCCAAAGACCAAGTTCCTGGCCTAAAGGAAATAAGAATGTTTATAAAGACTTTTTCACAAACCAGACTTCATCTGCATGCATTTAGTTTGAGGTTGATAAAACAAGTGAAGGACAATTCATGCATTTCTAGTTAAAATATTTTGCAATCCACTGTCCTTATAGAATTTGGGTAAAACTGCCAGTGAATATGTTGGCAAGTAAGTAGCATTCAGCAGAGCTTCTGTTTGTTTTTTCTAACCCAGTTGAGTACCGAATGACTAAACATTTCAAGACAGTCAGTAATGGGTGATAGGCAAGTGTAAGGAGTAGGAAGCACCTAGTCACATTATTACATTGATGTGGCTGATTAGAATCTACTCAAAGGAGCTATGATAAACCAAACACATGCTTACAGAATCTATAGTGAGTGAACCTTCAATAAGCACAATTCATTATGTAACATCCTCTAGTTATGCATTGAATACCCAATGCAGAGTCCCATTATTATTCACACTCATTTAAAGTTGAACTTGCATTGTGACAGTAATCTTCAAAAGGCACCAAAGGAGTTACTGTGTTTGATTAAGCAAACAAAATATTTTGAATTTTTTTAAGTGATAGAATCTTTGTTACTTGCAAAAGGACAGTCTTGATTCTTACCACTGTGATAGCAACTTAGTCCCTGGGTCTGGTTGATTTCATCTCCGACCTTTCATACACTGTCTGTAGTTAAGATCCATTCATGGGATTCCCTTAGGGGTTAAGCCTATTGTCCAATTGTTCAAAGTATTAAAAAAACTTTTGCCCCCAAAATATTAGTTCAAAGTACCTCTTTTTAGTTCCAAGGCACTGATCTTTTCCCTACTATATTCAGAGATTCTGAATAACTCCCTTACTTCATTTATGTTTTTAACTTGAAGTTACAGACCTTGATCAAGTGTCTACTAGTCATTTTTTGTGACCTCCTAGAGAGATACTCTGCCCTCTCAGTATTTCCCTACATTTTATCATTGAACCTTTTTTGTCATTTTTGCCACCTTTCCCCCTCCAGGTTTTTCTGTCCCTTTCATTAACCTGCAGGGGCTTGTGCTGCACCACAATATCTCTATTGATTGTCACACTAGGACCAGGTGGCCCTTCCTATTCATCTGCAAGGAAGCTTCTTTATCAAGTCCTTGTATTGTGAATCTACCAGCTGCGTATTTTTCTTTCTCTGTAATGCTAGTAATATTCAGCACTGACTTAAGTGGCTTAAGTGCTGAAAATCACGTTTCAAAGCTATTCAGAATTGTGTCTTTTCACTTAGGGTGAAATTCCATTGGTCTTGAGAAGGAAGTGTAGGTGATTTCACAATTCTAAACTTGTTCCTAATGTTTTATCAGGGCTTAGTTTGGAAGACCAGAATGCTTCCGTGAATGATAGTTGAAGGAGAGGATTCTTTGAAAAATAAGAAATTATTCTGTCTTGTTTCTTTCTTTCTTATATAATCACACATTCTGAATTAAAAAAAAATTTGCGGAGGCAGGGCACGGTGTTTCACGCCTGTAATGCTAGCACTTTGGGAGGCCGAGGCAGGCGGATCACGATATCAAGAGATTGAGACCATCCTGGCCAACATGGTGAAACCCCGTCTCTACTAAAAATACAAAAATTAGCTGGGCATGGTGACAGGCGCTTGTAGTCCCAGCTACTTGTGAGGCTGAGGCAAGGGGAATCACTTCAACCTAGGAGGCGGAGGTTGCAGTGAGCCAAGATCGCGCCACTGCACTCCAGCCGGGCGACAGAGCGAGACTCCATCTCAAAAAAAAAAAAAAATGTGTGGAACAATTTATGAGTATGCAGTATATGCAAAATATTGGGTCAAGTGCTATAAGAATTAAAAAATATTAGTAGAAAAACTGTCTTTCACTTGTTTTTGAACTGTTCTTTCCAGGGATGGAGATGCATTTTAACTGGTATAGCCACACTCCTTCCTTTTGTCAACTATGTAGCAAATGCTGCCTTATTTGAGAGATGGTATATGCACTGGATAATAGTACAATTTAAGGAATTACATTTCTTCAAATTCTGACATCATCACTTATTATACAGGCAAAAATTATTTGACTTTTCTAAATCTTTTGTTCCCACCGTGTAAAACTGAATATAATAACCATACCTACCTCATGGTGCTATTGTAAGGATTTAATGAAACCATCAATGGGAAGCCCGTAGCTCTTCTACAGAGGAAGCTTTCAATGGTGCTTGCTATATTTATTCCATGCTTGTAGGGCCATTTAGGTTGCCCAGCACCTACATTTTCTTCTCACATGGAGATCTTAAAATAGATGCAAAACAAACAATAGAGGCCAATTATCTGTCCTCTATTACTGGAAAGAAAGGAACAATAATTGTGTGGTTCACCTATGGAATTTGCAACATTGTTTCCTGAAAGTGACACAAATTCTAGAGATTAGTATTTGTAGCCTCAGTGGAAATTCTGAGACAGTAAACTGCAATGCCCAGGCCTGGTGGGAGTGTTCTGTGGGGCTCTGCCTTTGTAGGCAGATGGTTCCTTGGTTTCCCAGGACTCTCACCTGCCTTCTCAGCTCAGAGAAACTGCCTGGTACTGCCTGGCCTTCCCTCTCTGTGTGAAAACTCTCAACAGGCAGTGAGCAGATATTTTGATGCTATCATAATTAAGTTACCCAATCATAATGAGGCACAGTTATTGATAAGAGAATTCTATAACTTGAATAAAAACCTGCAATGGCTCCTTGATTCTTAAAGAATTAAATTCAAACTCCTTGGCCTGAAATACGAATTCATCTAGTCGTTGGTCTTGTTGTTACACCTGGTAAAAATTCTGACTCTTCTATTCTCAGACCATGGGGATTTTGTTAATTACTGTGTCCCTCCTGTTCTTTATCTATAAATTGGTAATCATAGGGTTATGGTGAAGATGACGTAAGATAAAACTCAGTAAGTGGCATCTTATTTTCCGCTCTTATTCTATATACATTTTCCCCAAATACTACTGATACTATGTCGTATCAGAGTGTGGTGGTAAATTCCTTACAAGAATAGCTTTTAGGTGTTGCAGCAATGTCAAAATTGCAAAACAAAACCACGAACTTCATACCCCTCACTTATTTTTTCTCTTTTATTTCTTACATATAAACTCTTCTACCCCTTTTTGGAATATTTGCCGAGCACTGCCTTCATTTCCTAACTTCATGCCTATTTCAGCGGCTCCTCTATGCTTCACTTATTTTCTAGTAAAACTTTTCTCAGAGCTCACCAGCACTTCTGTCTTTCTTTCAACACTTTTTGAAGTTTAAGTTTGCCAACGTTTACCTTGTTGAAACATAGTAAATATTAAATTGCCTCATCCCTCATCACTCTGAACGATGGCTACTATTTATTCCTATTTTCTTTTCATTTGGTTTATTTATTTCATTATTTTGCTCAGTTGTTTGGTTTATTTTAAATAATGAATTACTACACAGGTGTATCTGTGTAAAGTCCTATTTTAAAATAGGTTTACAGGCTCTAATATTTTTATTTACTTGTTAAGGAAAAATTCTATTTTTAAATTCTATTATAATTTTATTCTCTATCTCTATATCAGAAACTATGTAACATTTCTGAAAAAACAGGGCTATGATGGAGCTTTTCCTTCTTATTTATTTACCTCTTTCTTGATTCTCTTTTACAAACATCCTCTTTCACAAAACTGCGTTTACATTAAAAATAGTATAGATCTTGTATTTCTTACTGTAGTTTCCTATGTTTTTATTCTTCTCTCAACTTCTGTATGGTAATATATCATTACCTTCATAAGAATAAAAGATGTATATTTTTGTTAGCCATCTAAGTCTCCCCAAATAAATACAGCAAGAAGAGAGCTGTCTATCTAAAGGCCACCATAAAGAAAAGAAAGGATTCAATTATATGTACAGTAAAAGAAAAGCTAATACATATTTGAAAATCGGAACCACAACAAACTCAAAAAGTAAGGAAAGTTAAACATTTAATTGACTTATATTTATTTTAACTTTGTACTTTTATGTGAATTACAGTATTTTAAAATATCGTGTTTTCATACTGTGTTTTGTATCAATTATTGAGGAACTCTGATTAAAACCTGTATCCAATATTTCTGATTTGATTCCATGATGCATATATAGAGACGTGTTTAGGGACCATCTACTATTCTACTGAATAATGTTCTCTTATGAAAGGTTGCATTTGAATAGACATTTGTGGTATTAGAAGGTATTATAACAAGCTCCTTAGAGCTTTCAATCATAAAATAAGTATCATTGAACGTGTATTATATATAAGGCATCATCCTAGGTGCCAGAGCCATATGATCATTGCCTTTAGGGAACTGAAAATCCAGTTGCAGAGATATGGATGCACATGCAAGCATGTGAAAATAATTATTAATTTATTGACTGTCTACTATGTGCCAGCTGCAATCCCAAGATTGTCTAAGTTCTCCAGCATTGACAAATAAGTATATTGTATTAGATTTGGGGTCTTATACTCAAACTGATATGAGCAAATAATTTAATTTAACTAAATTTATGTATTCTCACCTATGAAATGGAGAAAATAAAGGTAACTACCATATGCAGTCAGTAAGGATGAGAACTTTATCGGAGTTATTGTGTATTTATTTATATATATATTATATATACAAATACATATTTATTTGTGAATATAGATGAATATATACAAATAAACATATATACATTCATTTATATACACACGCATATATTTGTGTGTTTATATATATTCTTAAGACCTTGAAGTTCTGTTTCATAATTTGAAAATTTTAAGATAATTTTTATAATCTCAGATCCAAGCTACCCTAAGCCATATGAGTCTATAATATTTCTTCCAAGAGATAAGTATTAGGAAGAAACTTGTAATAAAAACACCATCTCATTCATTAAGAGAATAATCAGTAAATCATATCTATAATAAGTAGTCTTTTTTAAAAAAATAATTTTGACTTTTATTTTAGATTCAGGGAGTACATGTATAGGTTTATTACTTGAGTATATTGCATGATGTAGAGGTATGGAGTACAAATGATCTCATCATTTAGGTACTGAGCATAGTACCCAATGGGTAGGTTTCGACCCTTCCCTCTCCCCAACAGTCCTCAGTGTTTATTATTCATGTGTTTACGTCCCAATGTTTTGCTCCCACTTATAAGTAAGAACATGCAATATTTGGTTTTCTCTTCCTGTATTATCTCACTTAGGATAATGGCCTCTAGCTGCATCTATGTTCCTGCAGAGGATATGATTTCTTTCTTTTTTATAGCTGCATAGTATTCCACAGTGTTTATGTACCACATTTTATTTATCCAATTTACCACTGATGGTCACCTAGATTGATTATGTGAACCCCTAAAATTTGAGAGGGGTCACAGTTAATTTACAAAATGTATTTTGCCAAGGTTGAGGACATGTGCCCATGATAACCTGAAGAGGTCCTGATGACAGGTGCCTAAGGTGGTCAGAGCACAGCTTGGGTTTTATTCATTTTAGGGAGACAGGAGACATCAATCAACTTATGTAAAATGAACATTGGTTCGGTCCAGAAAGGTGGGACAATTTGAAGCAAAAGCGGGACAACTCGAAGTGGGAGGGGGCTTCCAGGTCACAGATAGGTAAGAGACAAATGGTTGCATTCTTTTGAGTTTCTGATTAGCCTTTCCAAAGGAGGCAATCAGATATGTGTTTATCTCAGTGAGCAGAGGGATGACTTTGAATAGAATGGGAGGCAGGTTCGCCCTAAGCAGTTCCCAGCTTGAATTTTTCCCTTTAGTTTAGTGATTTTGGGGGCCTAAGATTTTCCTTTCACAATTCCATGTCTTTGTTACTATGAATAGTGCTGCAATGAACATATGAGTGCATGTGTCTTTTTGGTAGACCAATTTATTTTCCTTTGAGTGTATACCCACTGATGGGATGGCTGGGTTAAATAGTAGTTCTGTTTTTAAGTCTTTTGAGATATCTAGAAACTGCATTCCACAATGGCTGAACTAATTTACATTCCCACCAACAGTGTATAAGCATTCCCTTTTCTCCACAGCCTCACCAACATCTGTTATTTTTTTACTTTTTAATAATAGCCATACAGACTGGCATGAAATGGTATCTCATCATGATTTGTATTTCCCTAATGATTAGGGAATATTGAGCATTTTTTTTATGTTTGTTGGCCACTTGTATGTCTTGTTTGGAAAAGTGTCTGTTCATACCCTTTGTTCCATGTTTTAATGAGGTTATTTGTTTTTATCTTGTTGATTTGTCTAAGTTTGTTATATATTTTGTATATTAGACCTTTGTCAGATGCATAGTTTGTCAATATTTTCTTCCATTCTGTAGGATGTCTATTTACACTCTGGATAGTCTCTTTTGCTGTGTGCAAACTCTTCAGTTTAATTAGGTCCCACTTGTGAAGTTTTATTTTTGTTGCAATTGCTTGAGGAATTGGTCCTAAGTTATTTCCCAAGGCCAATGTCCAGGATGGTATTTCCCAGATTTTCTTCTAGGATTCCTATACTGTGAGTTGTTACATTTAAATTTTTAATCCATCTTGAGTTAATTTTTGTATATGCTGAAAGGTAGGGGTTCAGTTTCGTTCTTCTGCACATGGCTAGCCAGTTATCCCAGCACTATTTATTGAACAGGAAGTCCTTTCCCTCATTGCTTGTTTTTGTCAGCTTTCTCAAGGATCAGATGGCTGTAGTTGTGTCCCTTTATTTCTGGCTTCTCTATTCTATTCCTTTCGTCTATTTGTCTACTTTAATACCAGTACCAGGCTGTTTTGGTACCATAGCCTTACAAAATAGTTTGAAATTGGGTAATGTGATGTCTCCAGCTTTGTTCTTTTTGCTTAGGATTGGTTTGGCTATTTGGACTTTTTTTTCGGCACCTATTGAATTTCATAATAGATTTGTTTAATTCTGTGAAAAATAACATTGGTAGTCTAATAAGAAGAGCATTGAATCTACGATTGCTTTGGGCAGTATGACCATTTTCATAACATTGATTCTTGCTATCCATGAGCATGTAATGTTTTTCCATTGTTTGTGTTATTTGATTTTTTTCATCAGTGTTTTGTAGTTCCCCTTGTAGATATCTTTCACTTCCAGATATATTATTAGGTATTTTGTTTGTGGCTGTTGTAAATGGGATTGTATTCTTCATTTGGCTCTCAGCTTGAATGTTATTGGTATACAGAAATGCTACTGATTTTTGTATACTGACTCTTTATCCTGGAACTTTTAAGTTGTTTATCAGTTGGAGGAAAGTTTTGGTGGAGTCTTTAGAGTTTTCTGTGCATAGAATCATACCATCAGTGAAGAGAGATAATTTGACTTCTTTTCCTATTTGATGCTTTTTCTTTCTTTCTCTTGCATGACTGCTCTGGGTAAGACTTCCAGCACTATGTTTAGTAGGAGTGGTGAGAGTGGACTTCTTTGTCTTGTTCCGGTTTGTAGGGGGAATGCTTCCAGCTTTTGTTCATTCAGTATAATGTTGGCTATGGGTTGACCACCATGTGTGGGCTATGCATGGAACTTAGATGACTCTATGAGGTAAGCATTATTTTCTCTGGTTTAAACATGAGGAAATTGAGACCCAATTTTCTTAGATGAATTGCCCAAACTCATATTGCTAGTATGAACAAAGCAGATATTTGTACCTAGCTATCTTCAAAGATTATACATGAAATCCTGAATTTGAAGGTATGATAGACATGGAGATGCACTGAATGGATCCCTCTTTGAGGAAATGTATGTTGCCCCAGCTGCTGGTAGTGCTCAGTCTTTAGCTATCAGCACCTGCAAGGATTCAACAGTGACTGCAAGCCCCTCTCATCAAGGCCATTCCCTTCTCAGGCTGGCCCACGTCTAATGACTGATGGTGGTAAAGATATTTCCACCATTTTAGCCTAAGGCAAGATACTCTGATAGGCTGTTTTAATCCCACAGTTTCACATATGTTTGGTTGAGGCTCTTGGCTTGCCTGTATTGTAGCTTCATTTCTTTCTCAACCTGCTCTTACTTCCTCTTCCACTTGTCTACAAGTTTATCTGAAGGGAACTCCCTAAAACATTCTGGGCAGTAAAGTCAATCTGAGGTTTTTTTCCTGGAGAGCCCAACTTGCAACACAAGGCGTCAATTAGAAAATGGACTATTGCATCCCTTGGGCTATCCCTTAGTTTCTCAAATCATTTTAATTTTAATTTTTTTTAGAAGAGGTGCTTTAATGCCAAGCTCTCAAACAATATTTATGTACTCTTTCTGCTCAACCTTCTATTCCTAGCTTTTGATCTGATAAAGAATGTGATAAAATCAACAATTCTTGATTTATAGTTATAAATGAAAAGTCTTCACTCTGCAATTGATATCTTACTGAACAGTCTTTTGGTGGTCACATTTTTGCAAACTAAGCCATATCTAGCTGGTTTTTGTTTAATGGATGGACTTTCAGACAGAGAACCCAAAAAGCTGAGTTTTTGCTTTGCTCATGCAGGTAACTAACTGGATGACATAGGGCCATTTGTATTTTTTCTTTTAGCTCCTTATCTTAAAAAATAGGATGTTTCATACCCAATACTTCAGGTGTCTATTTCCCAAATATTTTATTCTTTATTTCTTGTTGATCTTTGGAATTAAGGCTGTCTGCTCCCTCTAGTCTTTCTACAAAGTAGTTAATGAACTATAAACAATTACTTAAAATCACTAGTAGAGTCTTAAAGGAACCCTGCAGTGAATCCTTTGTAGTGTAAATAATCACCTTCTAATTTATGTGTTTTGTAAGTGCAGATTCTATTTATACTAAGAAAATTCAACCCTTTACAGTGAGGTAGAAGTGACTTCTAAAAATTGTCACTTTTTGAAATGTAATTTCAAAGGTGAAAAATAGCACTATATTAAGGTCATGTTTTTAACATTTTAACACTCCTCACCAATAAAAATTGTCCACTTTCAAGAAGTTTACCACTTTTTGTGTCTGAGAACAGTTTCTCTTAGTACACCAGAATCTTCAGAGTTTCTGAGCTGTGTATATTCAAAGGCTGTTAGCTATACACGTCCTTAAAAGTAGCTTTGGCTTCCTTAATACCCTCTGAGAACACAGAGGTACACAGAGATTTTATTTTCACTGCTTTGGGAATCATATACACTATGCTTTATTTTACCAGATGAAACCATGTAAAAATCATTAATTTTGCCAAGTTATGTTGGAGGAAATATTTATTCTATGTGCTAATCTGGGCTCAAGCTAAATATCAAAAGTGATGGCGCATCATGGAACATGAAGGTTTAACCTAACAGAGAATGAGCAGATAATGCAAAAGGAATGCTTCTTAAGGAAATATGCCACATATTAGGGACTATATATAAATTCAAAATTAAATAATTATAATTTTAGGATGCCTCTTAATCACAGTAGCAGAGAGAATATAAGAATTATTGAGCTTGTTAAGTTGTAGGTTGCCTGTCTAGATAGCCTCAAAAATGAATTTAAATAGTCTCTGAACATACGAGCCTTGTTTTCTGGAAAGACCTAGACTGCCTTCATCAAAATCATTTGCTTTCTTTTCTTCTCTCTCATGGAACTTGTTTTCATGTTGATTGCATTCAATTTATTCTCTTTCTATTACAAGGTTTGTTTTTTTTTGTTTTTTTTTTTCTTTTTTTTTGAGACGGAGTCTTGCTCTGTCGCCCAAGCTGGAGTGCAGTGGTGCCATCTCGGCTCACTGCTAGCTCTGCCTCCCAGGTTCACGCCATTCTCCTGCTTCAGCCTCCTGAGTAGCTGGAACTACAGGCACTCGCCACCACGCCCAGCTAATTTTTTGTATTTTTAGTAGAGACAGGGTTTCACCATGTTAGCCAGGAGGGTCTCGATCTCCTGACCTTGTGATCCACCTGCCCCGGCCTCCCAAAGTGCTGGGATTACAGGCGTGAGCCACCGTGCCCGGCCACATGTATTTGTTTATATATTTTATTCTCTTATTCGATTATGACCTTTTAAGGGTAGGAGTTTATTCACCTCAGATCATTGAAATCTTATTGCACAGTGACTCTCAGAATAAGCACAAAATAAATATTAGTCGAAACACTGCATAAATTCTATTCAGAAAAAATATTTCCATACTCTATATTAAATTATTTTAAAATAACAATATTTTATCAGCCAACAACCAGAAAGAACATACTATATAACTTTGGTGGTGTACTATTTATAGCAATGATACTGTCTTAAAGCTGGGAAGCACTTAACTTAAAAGTTAAGTTAGAGGTGAAGTACAAGGCATAACTATTTTATGGTAACTGTTAACATACTTTAGATGATTTAATTCTATATGTAGCAGTTTTAAAACAAAATCTCTAAAAGTAAAGAAAAATATTGAAAATCACACTAGAACTTTTTGAAAATTGGCATATTAATTTTAGAATTCATCTGGAAGTGTGAAAGAGCATAAACAATAGAACAACAATTCTGACTGTTCATTGAACAAGCTGAAGTTTGAAGTCTATAGTTTTAAAAATCTCCTTCCCTAATGGTTTTGCTAACTTCTATTGTACCTTTCCTTTCCGTTTTTGGCAAATCTCTTGTGTATTTCAGCACTTTGTCAGCAATTGTGGTGGTACAACCATCTCATTCACATGTAATAAAAATTTAGTTTTATATAAGTCAAACTTTTTACCTCTCTTATCAATTCAACCTACCTTTCTCCCACTCCTCCTACTGAGAATGGTTAAAGGGTTATTGTCTGATCTACTTTTGTCCACTTGCTAGACTGGTTCTAATTCATCCCGGATTGGCTGGGAATGAGTATTGAAGCATAAAGGGAATACTGGTGCTATTGGATTGGAATTTTTCAGTAGGTATTCTTTCTATGGCAGTTCTTCACACAGTGTGTGTCTTCTGAGATATTTTTATTGGCTTTTCTGAGAGCCCTCTCTTTTGAGACTCCTATAATGAATCTTTAGCATGAGTGATAGATTTTGTGGCTGGATGCCTCTGAAGTCTCTCAGCTTCTGCATTCAGATGGTGTGACCTAGAGAAACTTTGTCTTCTGGGGTTCTCCTGTCTCAGCAGTCAGCCTCATGAAGTGGGGTTATTGTAAGATTGCTTGTAGTCTGTTAAAGTTTATAATCTCCAATTCTGACATGAGAAAACTACATATTCTTGTTATAAAATGAAATATAATATTTAAGATAAATAAAATGTGTAGAAAATATGTCCAGTATGATTTCTAACTTGTAAGAAATGTATATGGATGTTTGAATAAACCAGTAAAAAACCTTTGCATGACTATATAAAAAAATTTTGGCTCTGAGAGTGAGATTAAAAGTAGTCTTTCCTTTCTCTTTTTTGATTTTCCATGTTTTTCAAGTTTTCTACCAGTATTGTTTGCTTTGGTGAAAAGAAAAATAATGAATGTTTTTTCTTTAAAAAAAAAATGAATGTTTTTTCTTTAAAAAAATAATGTTTTTTCTTTAAAAAAAATAATGTTTTAAAGTATGTAAAAGTAAAAACACAAAGGCTATTTTAAAAGATATGATTATAGTAGTGTCTGATGGAAGCAGCAACAGCATTACAAAGGAAAAGGATAGGTGATACCAGAACTATTTTAGAAGCAATTGCTAAGATGGTGTGGAAGACTGAGTAGTGTCTTCCCAAAATCCATGTCCACCCGGAGAGTGTGCCTTTATTTGAAAGAAGGGTGTTTATAGATGTAATTAAGGTGAGGACTCCAAGATGAGATCATCATGAACTTGAGTGGGCCCTAAATTCAGTCAATAGTGTCTTTATTAAAAAAGGAGAGGCAGATTTGAGACACATGAAGACAGATAAGGTCTCGTGAAGGTGGAGGCAGAGACTAGAGTTATTTGGCCCCAAGTCAAAGGATGCCAAGTGTTGCTGTCATCCACCAGAAGGTAGGAGAGAGGCAGGGGACACATTCTCCCTCAGTGCATCCAGATAGAACCAACCCTGCAGACTCCTTGATTTTGAACTTCCATTCTCCAGAACTGTGAGAGAATAACTTTCTGCTGTTTTAAGCCTTCGAGTCTGCGATCATTTGTTACAGCAGCCATGGGAAACTAACACAGTGGGTAAGAGCCAAGTGCAGCTTCAGTGAATGATCAGTCTCTACTTTGGATTTACGTCAAATGTTTAAGATAATATTCAAGAATATGAACAGTAATGCTACCAAATAAGATGATAGAATAATTGTGCCAAAACAAAATAAGTTTATAAAAAGGGTTTAGTTTATTTTCTCTGTATTGGATGTGCAGAGATTAACAAGGGGGAAAGCTATTTTGTACTCTCTTACTGTCTCTTCACATTCTGCATGTATATAGAAATATATATATATATTTTTCTCAAGTCCCAGCTAGCAAATTACATTTTTTTCTTAAATTTAGCTTCAGGGGGTACAGGTACAGGCATGTTACATGTGCAAATTATGTAATGCTGAGGTTTGGGCTTCCAGTGAGACCATGACCCAAATAGTGAGCATAGTACCCAATAAATAATATCTCAACCTTCACCACCTTGCTTCCAACCTCCCCACCTTTTGGAGTCATCAGTGTCTTATCATTTTCTTTTCTTTCTTTTTTCTTTTTTTCTTTTTCTTTTTTTTTTTTTTTTTGAAATGGTGTTTTGCTTTTATTGCCCAGGCTGGAGTGCAATGGCACCATCTTGGCTCACCACAACCTCTGCCTCCCAGGTTCAAGCAATTCTCCTGCCTCAACCTCCCAAGTAGTTGGGATTATAGGCATGCGCCACCACACCTGGCTAATTTTTGTGATTTTCCATGTTGGTCAGGCTGGCCTCGAACTCCTTACCTCAGGTGATCTGCCTGCCTTGGCCTCCCAAAGTGCTGGGATTATAGGCGTGAGCCACTGCTCCTGGCCCCATGTCTATTATTTTCATCTTTATGTCCATACCCATTGTTTAGATTCCACATATAAGCGAAAACCTGTAGCATTTGATTTTCTGTTTCTGAGCTATTTTTCTTAATGATAATGGCCTTCAGCTGCATTCATGTTGCTGCAAAGGACATGATTTCATTCTGTTTAATGGCTAGGTAGTGTTCTATGGTGTATATGTACCACATTTGCTTTATCCAATCCACCATTGATGGATACAGGTTGATTCTGCAACTTTGCTATCGTGAATAGTGCTGTGATAATCATATGAGTGCAGGTATCTTTTTCATAAAAAGATTTCTTTTTATTTGAGTAGATACCCAGTAGTGGCATTACTGGGTCAAATGGTAGTTCTATTTTTAGTTTTTTGAGAATTCATCATACTATTTTTTATAGGAGTTTAACAAATTTACATTCCCACCAATGGTACATAAGTGTTCCCTTTTCTCCGTGTCTTGGTCAACATATGTTATTTTATTTTATTTTATTTTACCTTTTTATAATAGCCTTTCTGATTGGTGTGAGATAGTATCTCATTGTGGTTTTAATTTGCATTTCTCTGATACTACTGATGATGAGCATTTTTTTCATATGTTGGTCATGTCTATGTCATCTTTTGAGAAATGTCTGTTCATGTCCTTTTCTCTGTTTTTAATGGGGATATTTGTTTTTTTCTTGCTTGTTGGTTTAAATTCTTTATAGATTCTCAATATTAGGCCTTTGTTGGATGTATAGTTTGCAATTATTTTCTCCCATTCTATAGGTTGTCTATTCAGTTGATTATTTCTTTTGCTGCTCAGAGCTATTTAGTTTAATTAGGTCCCTTCGCCTATTTTTATTTTCTTTGCAATTGCTTTGAGGTTTTTTATAGGTATAAGATCATGTCATCGGCAAAGAGAGAGATAATTTGACTTTCTCATTTTCCAATTTTCATGCCTTTGTTTTTCTTTCTCTTGCCTAATAGATCTGGCTAGGACTTCTAGTACTGTGTTGAATAGAAGTGATGGGAATGGACATCCTTGCCTTCTTCCAGTTCTTAGTGGGGGTGCTTCCAACTTTTGCTGGTTCAATATATTGACTGTGGGTTTGTCCTAGATTGGTCTTTAGTGCCTAGTTTGTTGAGGGTTCTCATCATTAAGGGAGCCATCCTTGCATCCTTGGACTAAAACCCACTTGATCATGATGAATTATGTTTTTGATATACTGCTGGATTCAGTTTGCTAGTATTGTGTTGAGGATTTTTGCATGTATAGTAATCAGGGATATTGTCCTGTTGTTTTCTTTTTTGTTGTGTCTTTGTTGAATTTTGGTGTCAGGATAATATTGATTTGGTAGAATTCCTCCAAGTATTAGGGAGGAATCCCTCCTCCTCAATTTTTTTGCAGAATAGTTTCACTAAGATCAATACCAGCTCTTCTTTGTACATCTGGCAGAGCTTGGCTATGAATCCACCTGGTACTGGACTTTTTTTAATTGGTAGGTTTTTTATTACTAATTCAATTTCATAACTTATTACTAGTCTGTTCAGGGTTTCAATTTCTTCCTGGTTCAATCTTGGGAAGTTTTATGTTTCCAGAAGTTTATCCATTTCCTCCAGGTTTTCTAATTTGTGCAAATAGAGATGTTTATAGTAGTCTGTGAGGATCTTTTGTATTTTTGTGGTATTAGTTGTAATGTCACCTTTATCATTTCTGATTGTGCTTATATTTTGTCTTTTCGTGGTCAGTCTAACTAGTGGTCTATCAGTTTTATTTGTCTTTACAAAAAAACAATTGTTCATTTTGGTGATCCTGTGTATGGATTATTGGTCTCAATCTTATTTGGTTCTGCTCTGATTTTTGTTATTTCTTTTCTTCTGATAGCTTTGGGTTTGATTTGTTGTTTTTCAGAGGTATGACATTAGGTTGTTAATTTGAGATCTTTCTGTCATCTTGATGTAAGCATTTAGAGCTATAAACATTCCTCTTATTACCACTTTTGCCATATCTCACTGGTTGCTTGATATGTTGTGTCTCTATTTTTGTTTCAATTTTTATTTGATTTCTGCCTTACTTTTGTTGTTAACACAAAGGCCATTTAGGAGCAAGTTGTTTAGTTTCCATGTACTCGTGTGATTTTGAGACTTTCTCTTGGTATTGATTTCTAACTGTATTCCACTGTGACCCAAGAAGATATTTCATATAATTTTGATTTATTTGAATTCATTGAGACTTACTTTGTGATCAAGAGTACTGTATCAGTCAATTTTCATACTGGTATAAAAAACTACCTGAGACTGGGTAATTTATAAAGGAAAGAGGTTTAATTGACTCACAGTTCAGCATGGCTGAGGAGGCCTCAGGAGACTTACAATCATGGTGGAAGGAGAAGGGAAAGCAAGGCACCTTTTTTTACAAGGTGGTAGGAAGGAGAATGAAACCAGGAGGAACTACCAAGCACTTATAAAACCATCAGGTCTCATAAGAACTCACTATCATGAGAACAGCATGGGGGAAACTGCCTCCATGATTCAATTACCTCCATCTGGTCTCTCCCTTGACATGTGGGGATTATGGGATTTATGGGGATTACAATTCAAGATGAGATTTTAGGTGGGGACACAGCCAAACCATAACACATCTGGTCAATTTTGAGAATGTTCAATGCACAGAAGAGAAAAATGTATATTCTGCAGTTGTTAGGTCAAATGTTCTGTAGATATATATTGGATTTATTTGGTCAAGAGTCCAGTTTAAGTCAA
This sequence comes from Homo sapiens, assembly GCF_000001405.40. NCBI lineage: Eukaryota > Metazoa > Chordata > Mammalia > Primates > Hominidae > Homo > Homo sapiens. The sequence continues at coordinate 104,999,371 of NC_000003.12, read as the reverse complement.
GAGTTTCTTTGTTAGTTTTTTGCCTAAGTTATCTGTCTAGTGTCATCAGTGGGTTGTTGAAGTCCCCCACTATTATTGTATGGCTACCTGTTTCCTTAAGTACTATTTGTTTTACACATTTGGGTGCCACAGTATTCAGTATATATATGTTTAGGATAGTCAAGTCTTCTTGTTGAATTCCTTCCTTTATGATTAAATAATGCCATCCTTTGTCTTTTTTTTTTAATTTAGTTGGTTTAAAGTCTGTTTTATCTGATACAAGAATAGCAAGCCCTGCTCTTTTTTGTTTTCCATTTGCATAATAGTTCTTTCTTTACCTCTTTAAGCCTGTGGATGTCATTTCTCATAGGTGGGTCTATTGATTGCAGCAGATGGTTGAGTCTTTTTTTCTTATCCAGTTTGACAAACTTTATTTTCTAAGTGGAACATTTAGGCCATTTACATTCAAGATTAATATTGATATGTGAGGTTTTGTTCTTGTCACGGTGTTGCTAGCTAGTTGCTTTGTAGTCTTAATTGTGTAATTGCTTTATAGAATCTGTGAAACTTGTACTTATGTGTGTTTTTATGATAGCAACTATCTTACTTTCATTTCCGTGTTTAGAACTACTTTGAGCATTTCTTGTAGAGCCAGTCTAGTGGTGAAGAATTTTCTTATCATTTGCTTGTCTGGGAATGATTTTATTTCTCCTTTATTTATGAAGGTTAGTTGGGTAGGATATAAAATTCTTAAATAGCATTTTTTTCTTTAAGAAAGCTAAAAATACATCCCCAGTCTCTTCTGGCTTGTCAGTTTTCTGCTGAGAAGTCAAGTGTTAGTCTGATGGGTTTATCTTTATAGATGATTTGACCCTTTTCTATAGCCCGTTAAGATTTTTTACTTTAGTGTTGAACTTGGATAGTCTGATGACCATATGCTTTGGTTTATCTTGTATGGTATCTTGTAGATGTTATCTAAATGTCTCTCATCTGGGTATCTACCTCTCTAGCAAGATTAGGGAAATTTTCTCGAATTATTCTCTCAAATATGTTTTCCAAATTATTTATGTTTTATTCTCCTTCCTCAAGAATGCCTGTAAGTCATACGTCTAGTCATTTAATATGATCCCATATTTCTCAAAGGCTTTGTTCGTTAAAAAAGCCTTTTTAATTTATTTTTGTCTAACTGGGTTACTTTGAAAAACAAATCTTCAATATCCAAAGTTCTTTCTTCTGCTTGGTCTAATATGTTGTTAAAGCTTTCAACAGTATTTTGAAATTCCTTAGGTGAATTTTTCAAGGCCAGAAGTTCTTTTTTTTCCTTAAGTATACTAGTTTGTCTTTCATATACTGAATTGTTTTTCTTGTTTTTCTATGTTGGTTTCCAAATTTCTTTTGGATCTCATTGAATGTCCTTGCAATTCATATTTTGAATTTAACTGTCACTTTAGAATTTTCATTTTGGTTACCATCTATTGCTAGGAGCTAGTCTGGTCCACTGGAGTGTCAAAACACTCATCTTCTCGTACTGCTGAACTTTTTGTGCTAGTTCCCTTTCATCTGAAGGAGATGTCACTTCTTATTTTTAAAATTGCTATCATTTGAATGGGACTTATTTTTTTTAATTCTTTTTTCCCTTGAAGGTATGACTGTAGTGTATGTTGTTATCATCTTTTGGCTTCGTTTCTAGTCCTTTCAGGGGACCAAGGCTCTGTAATGAGTTCCTTGGTTGTGGATAGCTTTTGTGTGATGGCTTTCTTTTTTTTCTTTTTTCTTTTTTTTTTTTTTTTTTTTTGAGATAGAGTCTTGCTCTTTCGCCCAGGCTGGAGTGCAGTGGCATGATCTTGGCTCACTGCAAGCTCCGCCTCCCAGGTTCACACCATTCTCCTGCCTCAGCCTCCCGAGTAGCTGGGACTACAGGCGCCCGCCACTGCACCCAGCTAATTTTTTGTATTTTTAGTAGAGACGGCGTTTCACTGTGTTAGCCAGGATGGTCTCGTTCTCCTGATCTTGTGATCGCCCGCCTCGGCCTCCCAAAGTGCTGGGATTGCAGGCGTGAGCCACCGCGCCCGGCCTGTGTGATGGCTTTCTTCAATGCTGCTTGTTGTAGGGATGTATTGGACAGGTGAGCCAACACACTATCTCCTATGGGGCTGAGAGTGTAGAGATTTCAGGAAGCCTATCTCATACACTACCACCCTTCTGAACAGCAAGCTTTTTATTTGGTGGTGCAGTTCAGTCTTCTGTCCAGTTAAGTGGAGATTAACAGTAAGTACTGGCTTGCTCTCTGGTAGCTTCATAGTGAGTGAAGGCTCTGGTCCTGACAGAGGAGGCAGGGGAGATTGTGTTGGGTTGCACTGAGGTCTTGAGGGTAGGGTGGTGGAGGTCGGCACCAGCTCCTCATCCTGGGCAAGCAGGAATGCAATCTGCTTTCCTACCATGTCCCTATCATAAGGCTTATGACAGTCAGTACACATAGACATTGTCCTTTGGCTCCTTGCCCCAGCTAGGGATCATGTTCCTCTGGTGGCTACCACCAATATGGGCTTGGGGAAGAGCAGAGCCTCTTTCCTCAGTCCAGAGCAGACAGCTCTGTGGTTTGTCTACCCTCTGTTGCTGGGACATTGCTACTCTGTGTAAAGAGGGGGCAAATGGCACCACCCTTCCTGGAAGCCCATGAAATGCCAGCTCACTTTTAATGGGGGTACAGCCATGGTGAAAAGCATTGGAAAGGCTGTCTCCAAGTGCACATCTGCTGGCCCACAATGGTGAGAGCCTCTGCTACATCTTCAACAGTAGGGAGGGGAAATGGGAGATGACCCCCTCACCACATCTGTTCATGGTTGATGGTCCCGCCTTCTTCGGTGGCCAGAGCTATGCCCACATTTCCTTTTTCTCAAGGGTGGCTTTGCTGGGATGTGCTCCCATATCCCCTAGAGCTGGCCTGTGCTGAGGACGAGCTTTCCAGGGAAACACAGCCCCTGTGGTTGTCAAAGTCATAGCAGGTTATCTCTGTAGGGGATCTGTTGATGTAGCAACTTAAGGGATGAGGTTCCCCAGGCAGAGCAGTGGCCCACAACAGGTGTGCAACCAGTATGGTACCAACCACCTCAGTTTGGGCCTGTGCGGAGTGCAGCTGCACCTATGTGAGCTAGCCACCTGGATCCCTGTCCCCAGGAACTTCCCAAATTGCCACCAACATCATTACCTGGAGTCACCAGGGTAGAGGGATTCCCCAACATTTTGGAGGTTATCAGATTGTTGTAGGGCTAAGGGGAGTAGAGAAGCCCCTGCTATTACCCTTTTCGTGGGGTTCTGAGTTCCTTGAGAGTCAATCTTTGCCAGATCCTTGCTGCTTTTCTGCACGCCACGTTGTTCCCATGGGCTCTCTGACAGGTCCTGGCTCTCTTCTTTCAGCTCTTCATTTGGATCATGACCATTCACCTGTAACTTTGATCTTCCTTATGAAGGGAGTTGGTATCTGACATCCTAGTTGGCCATCTTAAAACATACACACACACACACACACACACACACACACACACACACAGATTGTAGTTTTTTAAATGATCCCTAAGAATGTGAATTTAAGAATGTGAATTGGACTCTGTAAAAGAAAAAATCTTTATATCAAGGAGCTGCCTTTAGAAAATCAACTTACCACAACATTTCCAATTGAGAGATATAGGATGATAATAGTTTTCTGTGACTTTTCAGTATTTCAGTGTATTGGATGGAATAACAAAGCATAATATGAGCCCTGATGCTGGATAGAGATTCAAAATGATTCTAGGATTCCATAGATATCAAGGTTCTCAGTGAACAATCAAGAAATCTAGGACCTATTATGTGGCATAACTAGGGCTTGGTAGCTTGAAATAGGATTGTGGTGAAGGGGATGTAAAGAAATATACTGCTAATATTTAGGATGTAGTTTATAAACCTTTGGTCTTTGTGTATAATCTTGCCTTTTCAATATCCACTCCTAGCAGAAGGAAGGAAAGAAAATATAATATAAACAAGAGGCAAATTGATTAATTTTGAGATTAATGACCCTTTAAGAAGTTATTGATATTGTGTATTTTATTATTATCAATATTTTAATATTATTGCTATATTATTATTTCTATGTATTTTATTTATATTCAAATTGTTTGAATTTATAATTTAGAACTTGTTTTCTGCTAAGGAATTTCTAAATAATCTTATAAGATTAAACACTAGCCCTGTGATGTTAAAACAAAAAGGTGGATCGGAGATCATTTTAAAAGAGCGCTTAACCTATGGTTAAGATCACTGAAATCCCTGAAAGTTTATGTTCAGTTTTTTGTGTATGTGCTCATTAGTCTTGGCAGCGGCTTAATAACTTTGATTATGTCCTCAAAGGAGTAGTAGGCCCAGAAATGTTAGGGACCTTATATCATAAATAGAAGAAAGATCACTGTACCAGCAACCCAGAAATATTTGTTACATTCGCTGAGTATTGAATTCAGCTCTCAAAATCCTGGAAGCCAAAGTAAAACAAAAAAAACACACCAAAAAGCTATGCGTAATTCTTGTACAATAAAGAAGTACAATTTCATTTGCAGAGATAGACTATTTCCTAGTACTAAGCTTAAAGAGAAATCAATCCTATGGCTGATTCTTCAAGAAATATAACATCATTTAATATCCAAATATCTCTGACAGCAGGATTGTAAAATATATGAACAATTTAAGTTGATGTTTCTAGTGAAAAAGAATGAAAGAAAAGCTGAAGACATAACTTTATGTCTTAACTGCAAAAGCATAACTCTAGGGGAGGCAAGATAATATAGACCAGATGTAATAATATAGGAATCTAGCTTAGGCTTTGAGAAATGGAAGTTTAACATATCTGTTAGTTGGGTTCTCTCAAATATCAAAGAGAGCATGTGGTGAATGTCAATCATTGCATTGTTGAATTCTTCTGTCTCGGCCTGCATTAAAATTGTTTAAAGGTATACAGTTTATTCATTTATTCTAAAAGCTACATACTAACATGACAACAGTGGTTTCTGTTATGATGAAGAAACTGTCCTAAATCTGCCTATGTGTGGGTAATAGATGTACCCAATACAGAGCCAAAGTTTTCTCAAAAATTAATGTTGTCGTATTCGAACACTTAGACACTTAGGACAGATATTAGAATTTAAATTCATTAAATTTATATATTTACTATGCTGTCTTAAATGAATACAAACCCATTATTATGAGCCTATCAGATATTTAGTTTTCACTGGACAAAATATTGATGGGCTCCTCAGTATACCTTTAGTGAATTTTCACTCACTTAGACAATGGCAAATATTCTAAAAGTTAATATAGTTTTAGTAGTTTTTTTTCTGACAGTGATTCCTTTATCAGGGCTACATTTGTTTTTAGCGATAAACATTTTTCAGCATAAATGAAATTCTATCCTTTTTCTTCTCAGAATCAGGTTTGTATCCACTTAATCTAATAACCATGTAAATTATTATACTTATATACATATTTATTATCTGCTTCATTCTGAAAGGATTTGAGAGAGTTTACAGAAGTTTCTTCAGTTATACTATTAAAAAGTGATGGGAGAACAGAAGACTTCCGAAAGCCATTAGCATGAAAAAATATATCTTGATTTTTCTCTTTTCAAAAGCTCTTATATTTTGTTAAGATATTATATTAAATCAGTCTTATATGTAACTGTATTCAACCCAAATAATAGTTTAAATGAATATATATACACATGTACAGATACACATATCTATGCAAACAGATAGATGTTTAGTATTCATTTGGATGATCATTGTAAGCACATACCATGTTATAATCCAGATCAAGTTTGTAACTCACTCTGAATGTCAAAGACAGAAATATACAGAAAAAAGATAATTTAAAAAAGTTATTACAATGAAAATGCTCATAGTAATTATAGCGTTGTCACAATGTGACTGGATAAGATTTAGTCAATTTTATACTCCCTTTTATGTCAACTAAAATATGTATATATTCACATGTTCATAAACTAGTTAGATAATCTAGAATTGAATTGAAAAAAGTTATGTGGACTTTACAAATGTATGTACTATCTATCATATGATATATGAACCACAGAGCGTTGAGAAATTAGAAAGATATTTATCCCATAACATGCAAACCTAAATATTAATATATGAGAATGTTTAAATGTTGTATAGAGGAGATGTAACAAAAATCAAAATACATAGCAAAAGGTTTCTTCTCAAATATTCATAAAAGTGCAAACAAAATGGTATTTTCTGTCTTGATCCGAAATACTACTTCCTGATTAAATACTATATTCCTGTTGACTCCTAGTAGCTGTAGGTGGTGTTTAGAAAACAGTATTTGCATCTCTCAGCTGGCAGCCATGAAAATGTGCAGAAGTTCCAAGTACTACTCTGTGTTCTTAATGACTTCCTTACCCACTGGTTACCATGGCATCAGAACCTTGATGCGCATATGTACTTAGTCTCAGAGATCACTGCGGTGGGATGAATGGTTCCTGCATGGACCCTGGCAGGGTGGAGGTTAAAATCCCATCCCAAGCAGCCATATGCCCCTGCTGATCCACTAACAAGAGTGAGTGGATCAGCGGGGACTCCATGGTAGAGTGCTGATGAGCCTAATTGGCAACAGATGCTTCATTCCCTGGAAGCAAAAGACAGAGACAAGTAAAAGAGAAGGAAATGAAGACTTGAAACTACACTGCATTCCAATTACACCTTCATGTTGGAGGAAACTCAAGCAGTTACTATTGAGATACCAGATTGATAGTAAAATGATATTACCCCCTTCTTTATATCCTTTGATCTTTCAGATAACTCTTTCAGTACTTTAGTCACTAAATGCGATGTATGGATTAGATAACTTCCAAGATTCCTTCAGATTTGATATTCCATGTGTTTACTAGTAATTTCATTGATTCTTCTTAAAATTCACTAGATATTGAAAATCTGTATCTTAAACAATTTTTATTTGTTTGATTTGAATAAAGAATGGTATAATGGGACCAGGCGTGGTGGCTCACGCCTGTAATCCCAGCACTTTGGGAGTCCGAGGAGGGCGGATCACGAGGTCAGGAGATCGAGACCATCCTGACTGACACAGTGAAACCCTGCCTCTACTAAAAATACAAAAAATTAGCCGGGTACGGTGGCGGCCGCCTGTAGTCCTAGCTACTCGGGAGGCTGAGGCAGGAGAATGGTGCGAACCCTGGAGGCAGAGCTTGCAGTGAGCCAAGATTGCGCCACTGCACTCTAGCCTGGGTGACAGAGCAAGACTCCGTCTCAAAAAAAAAAAAAAAAAAAGAGTATAATGGAAATGGAAACAGTCTGACGTCTGACTTTTGGAATCAGAAAGACATGGACTTGATCTGTAATTCTGTCCATTGCTGTACATCTTGAGTGAGTCTCCTTAGTTTTTTTCTCTTATAAAATTGACAAACAAATACATAACTTGCAAGGCAGTAGTGGGGTAATTTCATTCTCAACACACTTATATAGCAGTATTTCCTTGAGCCTACTTGCAAATGTAATGGAAATTTAAATATGTCAGAAAAATATATTTTCACGTTATACAAAGAACATTCTTTACTGAGAAGACTAAAAATATTATAATTTACTTAATTATACCTCACCTTTGAGGATGTTTGATGATATAGCCAGGCTTTCATTCCTGTGCTTTAATTTTGTTCTTTTAATTCGCATTTAAATCCATATTTGACAAGCTTAAGTCTTATGACTGGTTTTTTCACACCTAATGATTTTCACATTTGACACACCTGATGATTGCAATCATTATCTCAATTATACGAAGTTTACGAGACATATTTTTTATCACTAGAACAACATATTCTTTTCTGTTGTTGTTTTATATTCACTTAAAAAATATTACAGCAAAATCTAAAAATGGTAAATCCTGAAATGTTTGTCTGCCAGCACAAAATTCTGAACTCTTTGTGCAACAAACAGAGGTGCAAACTATAACATAGGAAAGTTTGGATAGTATGAAAACTAAGCATATTCTTCATCCTTTATGAGTCACTTTTTTGATATAATTATTTTCAGTGTCTTAGTTAGTTTTCCATTTTCAAGTGAATTAGTAGCATTTTATGTTTTATTCATCTCCCAGGCTAAGACTTTACAGTTAGTGGAAAGTCTGAAGGGTCTTGCTGTATATTTACATTTTTCATGTTCGTTAGGGGGTGTATCCAAATCTCTAAACTAGTTTTGTTAGGCTATTTTAATATGTAGATGACTAGATGAACTTACAATTTTTATTTTTTGTGTTATACATTTTCAATTTAGAAACGAACAAACAAATGAGAGACAATATAGAAAGCAAAGATTAACAACCCAGAAACAGTCTCTATCAACATGTTGGTGTGTAACTACAGTTTTTTTCTGTATAACCATGGCAACCATGTATGTGACTAAGCAATGTTGTCACCTTTATGAATGTGATAATCGTGACACAATATATTCATTGGAAACATATTATTTTTGAATCTTTTTTAAGAAGATAATACAAAGAGATCAGTGGTTTAAGATTAGGAACTTGTCTTTTACCTCCATTGATTCTATTCAATAATCTATATGATTTTTAGAGAAAAATTACTGAGAAAGATCATAATTTCTATAAATCACAATGTCTCAAAAGCTTCAGACATAATACATTTCCTTGTAGAAATTGATCCCAGGGTGAATTATCAAAATTTAGACCTTTTTTAAAGCTTTAAAGGTAACATCAATTATTTTCTGTAGCTGTCAGCATGAAACTATTAGCTTTATATGGGCAAAAATAGTCATGATCATATGAAATATTGAGACAACAGAAGATCTCATGAACAAATGTGTCTCATAATTTCACGTTTAAATCAGTTGATGTTAAATGAATCAGAGTCACAGATTCAGGGCTTTTCTTTCCCTTTTAAAAATATATATTTTAGTTGAAATCTTAGGAGTAGAAATATTTGACAAGAAATTGGTTGTTATTTTGTTAATACAAACCATAAATCAGTTTTGTGATATTTTATAAATACATAATTCTGTCATCTCTAATAGGGCAGAATTTTTTAAAGTAGAGATTTTAAGTTTGAAAAGGCAGCTGCTATGCATCTATTATGAATCTTTACTGTGAATTCATTATAGTGGATTATTATGAAATGAGGGGATGAAAGCAGCAATCTAACTGGGATGAAAGCAGCAATCTGGCTTGCTGAGAGGCTTCCTTCTCCTGTAATCATCCTATGGAATTTAAACCACAGAGAAGGGCTAATGTCACATGAAAGTGCCTACTTAAGTACTCATGAGTGATGGCATTGGGTGACTTCTAATGTTGGCTGCACCTCCATATTTCTATTTTTAAATGGTAGTGTGAACTGTGGCACCTAATATTTACCTTTGTAGTGTCCCTTTCTCATTAGCAACATGGTGAATATGTGTAGGAGTAAACAGAGTCCGATTTGCTATGACAATAGCTGGGAATAAGGTTTTAGATAATGCTTGAAATTTAACTAAGCATATATATGTTGTAAAATATGGTTATTTTTAATTATGTGAAATGAACTGAGCTATTATTTGAGCCTCTTCACTGACTCTTTCTTTAAAGCAGAATAATTGGTTACTTAACAGAAAAAAAATTATGTACATGCATTTTTAAACCTGAGGACACCCATACATTTTAAATAGTTTTAAAGTTCTCCATTTCAAATAATTTTTGATGAAAGGCTTTTAAAAACAACATGAACTTTTTAAAAACATGAACTCTCATTTTTTAGTCAAATTTACATCTTTCTATTAAAATGTATTACAGAGTCTGCAAATGGGAAAGTTTATATTGTCTAATCACATATTAATACAAACATTTATTTTGTGAAAGTGTAGTGGTGTAGGACAGGTTTAAAACACCAGTTCTGGATTATTTACTTCAGTGTAGAAGAAGAATGTATAATACAAAACATTGCAATATTTTCTGTTATCTTTTTAAAGTTCCCAAATCATATTTCTTTCTTTTTGGATTTCTTTGGTATGACTATCATCCCTATACACAACAGTAGTTCAGTCTCTTAATAAAATCACATTGAAGAAACAGCTCATATTTTTTAAAAAGTATGTTCACTCTTTATTTGCATCTTTAGAAAAATTTTACGAAATCCTTTTTTTCCTTGCCCTGTAGGTGAGTCGGATGTGGTGACTGCATAAATCTCCCTCTGGCATTTTAGACTCCAGATTTTTTGGTTCGACTTTGGATTTACTCAATCATTTGAGTTTGAGGTCTTCTGTAGTCTACATTTGAATCTCATTCCAATGTCATGTAACTTTAACTCTTGAATGCATTTTCAAGGGGCTAGAGTTTGCACATACAAGAATAGGGCAGAGAAAAATAGGAAATTAACTCTGTATGCCTAGAAATAATCAGGTTGGTTGAATGGCTACAATTTATCTAGATTGTCTTCAAGGTAGAGTATCCATACAAGGGAAACTCTGAGTTGACTATACTTTGCTCTGTATTGGTATAATCATTAATAGTGGTGGTGTAGATTTCAGCATGGGGGATGAATCCCAATTGAGAGGGGAGGTAAGTAATAATATTACTTTCTCCTCTTCTGTGCCAGACTAACAAACACAGAATTAAATGATAAAGCAGAAAACAATTTGATGACTGGAACACTTAGTGACATCATTTAATAGCCTGTGGCATAGAAGCTATTGCAGTAATAATTTCTCTCCAGTGAGGAAGACTACATAATGGTACTTGCCTGGAAGTCTTAATTTTCCGATCCAAAACTTCAGGATATTTTTAAGCCTCCTGCCACGACCCCGTATGCCACAGCAGACAAGATTTTGCAACCATTCCTGAAGAAAATAGATAATAAGTACAAATATATTTTCCAGTACTAAACTGAAGATCATGCTGTCTTAAAATTTTATATTGCCTGTATGTGTACAGTGGAAAGTTAGCATTGATGGCAGCCAGGTTATAAAAATTTAGTTCATAAAAACCCTATGCTTAAAATATAAACTATAGGTCAGGTGTGATGGCTCATGCCTATAATCCCTTTAGGGAGACCAAGGCAGGAGGATTTCTTAAATCCAGGAGTTCAAGACCAGCCTGAGCAACAGAGCAAGACCCCATCTCTAAAAGTATATATATAGATATAGATATACATATACATATGTGTATATATACGTGAGTATGTGTGTGTATATATGTACATATATATATACACACACAGAGAAAGAGAGGGAGATTTCAAGCATAGATCCCTGAGAATTTGTTGTGATTTCTATTGTATTTCACCAGTTGGTGGCGACATTTTTGACTTCCAAATATAAAAAGTTCTTTGCCATTTTCTCCATGATTGAAGGGATACTGATTTTTATTCCAGAGGTTTTTTTCCTCAAGTAATTTCAAGAATCTTGAATGCCTGCAGTTTTGTTTTGATTATTGTTCATTGATGCTAAGTGTAGATAATCATACTAGGAGTCTCTAACATTCCACAGAAGTGCTCCCTCAGCTAGAATGTTGTTTCCATCATTAAGACTACCAATTGCCACCCATATTTATATATTGTACATATGTGTATATCTCGAAAGAAAACATTCCCAGTGCCAGTGGAACCAGACACCAACTGTTGTGCTTCAGTCATGTATATTTAGTTGTCACAAATAAGAAGTGGGAAGGAGAATTTGCCTTTTTCATTACTCTTCCGTGGGGCTTGCACAATAAGATTACTTGAGCTTCAGAATGCCAATAGTCAATGGTGAATTTTTCTGTCACTTTCACAGTTAGTCAGGTGTGCGCTCTGCAATATCAATTTTACACAAGCCATAACATTTCTTCCTTTATGAAGCAAAACCCAGGTAGTGGTGGAATATAGTTCTGTTGCATCTCTACAGATCTGGTGCTGGTAGAGTTTAAAATCAGCCACCTGTCACTGATACTAGATACCACTTATGGATATGGAGGCTTGACTTGCTCATAGTAGTTTTAATGAAGTGAGGGGGAAGCTTTAGCTTCATAAGTGCTCTAAGTGTTATATATATAAGTGTGGTGCACCTCTTTCAATATCCATGAGCTACTACTGATAACCAAGGTGGGTTTTATGCTGAAGCACAACTACCACTGATGGCTAATCTCAGTCTTTGTCACTGAATCATGTTCTTAGTCCTTGTCATAGTATCTTTCCTTATAATGAGTTTTTGCTCAATATAAACTGCAATTTTTCCTCTGTTAGGGTATCCCAGTATATTAAAAATATTTGTATAGACCTGGACATCATTGTAAAAAGCCTTTTGTCCTCATCTTCTCTGTCCACTCCTTCAGGGAGATTCCTAGTCCTTATTAGAGTAAGTTGGTTCATTCATTCAACAAATATGTATTCATTTTTCACAATGCACCAGGCAATGACATAGGCATAATGTTCAAAAAAGAGAGAGATGCAAATATTTGTAAATTCAGATATCTTTTTCTCCACAGTGATTATAGAATAAATAATTAAATATTCAAGAAATAACATACCAGATAGTAAAGAGAAAAATAAAAATAAGTGCTAAAGAGAAAAATAAAATAAGGAAGTGGTATTAAGTTGTGTCAAGAATGAGGATGGTTTTAAATTTGACATAGAGTGAGTAGGGATTGCCTGTAATGAAGGACAAATTTGAGCCAATATATGATGAAACTGAGGAAGTGAGCCAAGGTTCATGGGAGGGGATCAGTGCAGGAAGATTGTGCCTAAAGTGTGCAGTCCTGAGGAGGGAAGGTCGTATGTGACTATGGTCGGAATAGGCATAAGGTTGAGGTCTTAACTTTATACAACAGCAACGTCTATATTCCTTCTCTGGTCTAGTCAAGACACTCATTTATAATGGAAGGGGGAAAAGAGTAGTTGACATGATCAATCTATTACAAATTGATATGGGACACAGAGGGGGTTAGCAGGCTATGAAGAAATAGATAAATAGAAATGCTGACACATCAAGGTAAAATCATGCCTTGCCATGTCTAGCTAAGAATATAATTCCTTGGTGAGTGTTGATTAAAACATAATGCAAGACTAATAGGTGTTTACATTTGTAAGCATTGGCCCAAGTTCTCCACTTAGCAAGCAATGTATAGAGTGCCTAGAGTAGCAGTCTTAGAGGAATTAAATAATTTTCCATTTAGTGTTTTATTTATAAGTTTTATCAAAGATAAAAACTTTTAGCAATGGAAGTCCAATTCTAGATACAATCAAACTTTGCTGCTTTGAACAAACAATCAGAAGAAAATAAAATCTGGCAATATTCTTGCATGTTGTTTTAAAGACTATGTTTTGTTTTGATATGTCTAATTTAGCACATCTTTCTTGATGTTAGGCCATATTTTTACTTGACATATATTTCACAAGTATTTATTATGTGCAAGGCTGTTTTAGGTGTACAGGTATAGCAGTGAATCAAACGATATCCCTACCTTAATAGAATTTCTGTGCTGGAAGGCAAGGCAGACATATGTCAGGTTCTAGGTCAGTGTAAGTGGATAGAGAATTTCCATAGGAAAGTTATTCAGGAAGGCATGTCAATCAGAATATGCTGTGGTAACAAATACACCTCTAAAATTTACTGTCTTTATAAACAAAGATTTTTTCCTGTTTATACCATATGTACATTGGTATAAACAGAGCACCGGGCTCTGCTTATTGAAATTACTCATAGACCCAGGGTGAAGAAACAGGCACCACCTTGACTGTTGTTTGTCATTGTGCTTCAGGGAAAAGAAAATTCTGGAGGGACTAGAACCGGGAAATGTGACATGTCTCATTTCTACTTGTAACTCATTGCCCAAAACTAGTCGCATGCTCTACCCAACCACAGGGTACCCAGGAAGTGGGGAAGCCTAAATATGTTGGTTAGATAGCACTAATGTCCACAAAATAAAGCATATCAGATAAAGAACTCTCTGAGAAAGTGACATTTGAGCTGAGACTTGAAGAAAATGAGGGAGTGAGAGCCAGAGACAGAGCTTTTTCAGCAAAATGAAGAGTAAGGAAGTTAAGTCTCATTTAGTTTGTTCAAAAAGTAGTGAAGACTTCTTCAAAGTTAAAAAAAATGCAATTAATAAAATGTAAGAACATGAAGAGAAGCTACAGATGAATAGAAAATAATTGCAAAATTTTATGTGCTTGAAACTGCATGTTCAAAATGTACAAAGAGCACGTACGAGTTAATAACAAGGAGACAAACAATCCAGTTTTCAAAAAATGAGCAAAATATTTCAGACACTTTACCAAAGAGGATATACCAATGGTAACTGAATACATAAAAAGATTCTAAACCTAAGTAATTATTAGAGAGACATAAATTAAACCACAATGAAATACCATATATATTCACTAGAATAACTATAATGAAAACAACTAACAGTATCAAGTGTTGCATGAATGTGGAGAAACTGGACTTTCATATATTGCTGGTGGGAATGTGAAATGGCATATCTGCTTTGAAAAACAGTTTGGCAGTTTCTTAAAAAGTTAAATACACATGTCACATAACTATTTGATAACTAGGAACTTTATTGAATGTGAAATAAAATCTACTAGAGAACAATGTAAATATATGTTCATACGAAGACTTGGATATTAATGTTCATAGGAGCATTATTCAAAATAGGCAATAATGAGAAAATTCAAAGGTCAATAAAGCGGTGAATGGATACACAAATGTAGCATGCCTATAAAATGGAATGAATGACATATATACTACAGCATAGACAGGCCTCAAAAATGTTATGCGAAATGAAAGAAGCCAGATGTAAACAGCTTATTTATATTGTATGATTCTGTTATATTCCATTATCACAAAAGGGAAAACTAGAGATGTAGAAAGCATATCAGCAGTCACTTGGAACTGTCAGTGGGAGAATAATTAACTGAAAATGAGCACAAGATAAATTTTTTGAAATAAAGGAAGTGTTCTAAGACAAGACAGAGTTAATATTTGCAGAATAGTATAAATTTACTAAAACAAATGTACACTTAAAGTGAATGGGCCGGGCATGATGGCTCATGCCTGTAAACCCAGCACAATGGGAGGCCAAAGTAGGAGGATCACTCGAGCCCAGGAATTCAAGAGCAGCCTATGCAATACAGTGAGACCTCATCTTAACAAAAAATCAGAAAATTAGCCAGGCATGGTGGCGTGCACCCATAGTCTCAGCTACTCAGGAGGATTTCTTGAGCCCTGGAGGTTGAGGCTGCAGTGAGCCATGCTGGCACCACTGCACTCCAGCCTGGGTGACAGAATGATGAGACCCTGTCTCAAAAAAAAAAAAAAAGGATGGAATCTTACGGTATGTAATGTTTGCTTCAATAAAGCAGTTTAAAAAAAGAAACAGTAAGAAGGCCAGTGTGGCTCTTTTAGAATAAAGAAGGAAAAGAGCCGTAGATGGTGTGGTTAGAGGTGTAGCCAGTGACCCTATTCTCATCATCAGTGAGGCCTTGACATCAAGATCCAGTTTGGGCTTCTTTTCAAGTTTGTGGGAAGTCAGCGGACTATTTTGAGTATTAAAGGTACTGGAATTAATTTATGTATTTAAAGGACCCTCTATGTTGATTTGCTGCAGCAGGTAAGATTGAAGCAAGACAATAAATTACGATGCTTTTATAGTAGTTCAGAAAAGAAAATATGGGAAGTAGATCAAGAATGAGGAGTAAACGTGGTGAAAAGTGGTCTTCCCTGGAATAAGTTTGAAAGTAGAGGCTCCAAGGTGAGTTAATGGATGTGGTTGGGTTACTAGACTTTTAAGCATTCTTATTAACAAGTAATGTGAATAAATAACATCCTTATCCCATTCCTAACCCTCTGCTCAACATTAAACACAACTCTAAGTCAATACTTAAGTCTTAACCTTAAGGCTTAGGGTTAGGGAGTAATCACTAATAGGATGTGGATCATGGAAGTTTGATGTGTATACATTTTAATAATTAAAAAACAAAAAACCCCACTTGTTTGATGTTGATTTTTTTTAAATATCAATAACTCTGCATCAAAATGGCCTTGCCACATTTTTTTGTTCACCATTAAAATGATATATTTTATCTGAGACTGCAAAAAACTGCCACAGGCTTTCATGATAACCATCCAAAACAATTGAATAGAATTAGGCTACACCTCAATTTTCATGATATATAATGTGTAATTTAGGTTAACAGTTTAGTACTCAAATAAATCAAATATAAACGATAAACATTTCTGATGCAATTTCCCTTCTCAAATTTGAAGTATGATTTCCTATTACAATAATGCATTTTATTTTTGAAGAACAATTTCAGAGTAATTGCAGATAATTAAATATATTGGATTGTAATTTTGAAAATTACCTGTGTGAAGGGAATAGGTATAGTAATTTGTCTTTGCTTTTTATAGGTTGAACTTGTAGAACTAAACATAAAATATTTAAGTTTTACTGGAACAAAGAATTTAGGAAGAAGCAAATTGTAAAACTGGCTTCAAGTATTTGCAAATTAGAGTTTTAACAATTTCTCCTATCAAAAAATTAAGGTGATAGAAATTTATATTACTACCAATTATGGTAAGAAATTTCATTTTGAAAGTTTTTAAGAAGCTAAAATGATAAACTTGCCATCTAAACGGTCAATTGCTTATTTTTGTTTATATTCTATATAGTGAATGCTGGGAGACACTTATGACTGTTCAAAGAGTCAGTCTCATTTTCTTTCTGGAATACTAACTCTTTTACCTGAATTGTCTCCATGTAATGCTTCTGATTGATTATTTTGATTTTCCTGTAATTGTTTTACTAATTTTGGAATCTCCCTAATAAGAATGGTTTTATAGTAAAACAAAACAAACAAACAAAAAATAGTACTACCTGGAGTAATGGGTAAACTCCAATATCTTAGTGGGAAAATGTAACAAAAGTTTAGTTTTAGCTTATTTAAATATTGGAGTGATGCTAGTGATTTTCTGAGAGGCTTTCTTGTAATTGTTTCATTATGTCAGCCCCTTTTACTGTAACTATGCTATCTTCACCATATGGCTTTCTTTGTGCCTGTTTCTATTAAGCCAATGAATGGTAAAGATTACGCAGGACCTTACATGAGAGCTTTGTCTGGGCCAGAGTGGAAAAAAAGTACACCTCACTACTGCTTTCCTTTCTATGACTAGTCAGAGCTCACTCATTATGGTCCCAAATAATAATTGTGTTTTTTTTAAATTCTAAAATAAGATGAAATTAAGTTATTGACTAGTCAACAGTCTTTGCCACTATCAGGAAGCTATATATTATTTTCAGCAATCTAGAGAAAGAATCCTCATTTAAAAATTACTTTGCTTGATACTTATGTAATGTCCAGATCAAGACGAGATTCTTTCATCTCATGATTTCTTTCTTGACTTTAAAAACAAAACAAGGCCGGGCGTGGTGACTCATGCCTGTAATCCCAGCA
Organism: Homo sapiens; assembly: GCF_000001405.40. Classification (NCBI taxonomy): domain Eukaryota; kingdom Metazoa; phylum Chordata; class Mammalia; order Primates; family Hominidae; genus Homo; species Homo sapiens. The sequence goes on along the minus strand of NC_000003.12, from coordinate 104,981,922 downwards.
CTTTGGGAGGCCAAGGCAGGTGGATCACGAGGTCAGGAGTTCGAGACCAGCCTGACCAACATGGTGAAACCCCGTCTCTACTAAAAATACAAAATTTAGCCGGGCGTGGTGGCGTGCACTTGTAATCCCAGCAACTCAAAAGGCTGAAGCAGGAGAATCACTTGAACCTGGGAGGCAGAGGTTGCAGTGAGCCAAGATCGTGCCACTGCACTCCAGTCTGGGCAACAGAGCAAGACTCCATTTCAAAAACAAACAAATAAAACAGTGTTACTGAGAAATAATTCACATATCATAAAATTCACCCTTTTATTATGTAAAATTCAGGGTTTTTTCGGGAGGCGGAGCTTGCAGTGAGTCGAGATCGCACCACTGCACTCCAGCCTGGGCGACAGAGCGAGACTCTGTCTGAAAAAGAAAAAAAAAAAACAAAACACGCTTTTTTTTTCCCACAAAGTTCCATAGACAGCACCACTCTGTAATTTCAGAACATTTCATCACCCCCAAAGAGGCTCCTTACCCATCAGCTGTCATTCCTCCTTCTCCTCGTCTTCCAGCCACTAGAAATCACCAATTTACTTTCTGTCTCTATGGAATTGTCTATTCTGGACATTTCAGATAAAACGAATCATACTGTATGTGACATTTGGTCCAAGGCTTCTTTCACTTAGCGTAATGTTTTCAAATTTGATTGTTGTTGTAGCATGTATCAGTACTTCATTTCTTTTTATGGTTGAGTAATATTCTATAATATGGATATGCCACTCAAGTGTTTGGGTGGAGATAAATTTTTAGTTTTCTTGGGTATATACCTAGAAGTGGAACTACTAGGTCATATGGTACTCCCTTGTATAAGGTTTTCAGAAACCTCTAAACTATTTTCCAAAGCTGTTGCAACATTTTGCGTACCTGGCACCAACCTATGAGGAGTCCAATTTCTCCACCTCCTCACCAAAGCTTACTATTCATCTTTATGATAGTCATCCCAGAGGGTACAAAGTAGTATCTTATTATGATTTTCCTTTGCATTTCCCTAATGAGTCATGATGTTAAACATCTTTTCATATGCTTACTAGCCATTTATATATCTTATTCACAGAAGTGTCTTTAAAATGTGTCCTTAGCACATTTTAAAATTGGTTTATCTGTTTTTATTATTGAATTCTAAGTTTTTTAAAAATATATTCTGGATACAAATCCTTTATCAGATATATAATTTGCAGATATTTTCATCTATTCTGGTATTTATCTTTTCATTTTCTTGATACTGTCTTTCAAAGGATGAAAGTTTTTAATTTTGATGAAGTCCAATTTATCTAAATTTTCTTGTCTCATTGGATTTTTGTGTCACATCTAAGAAACCATTGCCTAATCCAAGTTTGGGACAATATAATCCTATGTCTTTGTCTAAGAATCTTATAGTTTTAGCTCTTACATTTAGATCTTAGATTCATTTTGAGTTAATTTTTATTTATGGTCTGAGGTAAAGGTCCAACTTTATTTTCTTGCATGTGGATATCCAGCTTTATCAGCACCGTTTATTCAGAAGATTATTCTTTCCCCGTTGGAAGGTCTTGGCACCTTGTTGAAAATAAACTTAACATAAATTTAAGCATTTATTTCTGGACTCTTAATTCTATTTTATTGATTAATATGTATCTACTTTTGTCAGTACCAAACAGTTTTGTTTACTGTAGCTTTGAAGTTAAATTGTGAAGTCAGGACGTGTGATGTGAAATCAGGAAGTGTGACTACTTCAAATTTGTATTTTGTAAAGATGGTTTTGGGTATTTGAGGTTTCTTGCATTACCACATGAATTAGCTTATTGATTTCTGCAAAATATTAACTGGGATTTTGATAGTAACAGTGTTGAATATGCACATCAATTCAGGAAGTGCTGTCATGTTAACAATATTGCCTTCCTATACATGAATACAAGATGCCTTTCCATTAATTTTGGTCTCTTTAGTTACTTTCAGCAGTGGTTTTATAGATTTCAGTGTAGTTTTTAAATTCTTCTATTAAAAATACTGAGAATTTTATTCTTTTAGATAATGTCATAAATAAAATTATTTTGTTAATTTTATTTTGATTGTTTCTTGCTAGAATGTAGAAATACACTTGATATTTGTGTATTGGTCTTACATTCTTCAACCCTGCTCAACTCATTGTTAGTCCTAATAGTTTGTGGTGTGTATGTGTATTCCTTAGAATTTTCTATATTCAAGGTTACATCATTTGCAAGTAGAGATCCTTTACTTCTTCCTTTCCAATATAGATGACTTGTATTTATTTTTATTGCACAGTTTCCTTTATTAAAACACCAATACAATGTTAAACAGAAGTGGTGAGAGCAGAAATCCTTGTCTTGATCTCAATTTTAGGGGAAAGTATATGAGTTTTCTATAGATGGCTTATATTGGTTTAGGGAAGTTCCCTTCTATTCCTAGATTGTTGTGTTGAAAAAAGATTTCTGGCCAGGCACGGTGGCTTACGCCTGTAATTCCAACACTTTGGGAGGCCAAGGCTGGTGGATCGCCTGAGGTCAGGAGTTCGAGACCAGCCTGGCCAACATGGTGGAATCTCGTCTCTACTACAAATACAAAAATTAGCCGAGTGTGGTTGCGGATGCCTGTAACCTCAGCAACTTAGGAGGCTGAGGCAGGAGAATTGCTGGAACCCAGGAGGCAAAGGTTGTGGTGAGCCGAGATCCTGCCATTGCACTCCAGCCCAGGTGACAACAGCAAGACTGTGTCTCAAAACAAACAAACAAAAACAAAACCACACAATAAAACAAACGAAAAACCCCCAGATTTCTGACCTTTTGTTTTATATATTTTGATTAAGACTTCAAAAACATTCTGTAAGAGTTTGCTGAGGTCTAAAAGGATGTTAAACTTGTGGTTCCCTTTGTAAAAAAAATATACATTTTAATGTATAGTAATTTGCTGTGAGAATGAGTCAATATTCCTACGGCAATGCTTACTTTCCCAGTTATTCTGCAAACTTGTGTGCTTTATTCACAACGTCCCAACATGCTCAGTACTCTGCTTTTAAATAAATCTATCATGGTAGTTAAGAATTATTAACTAATGATTATCCAAAACACCTGCATGAGGTGTAAAATGTATAATTTATCCTTTAATTCTAGAAAGAAAAAGCATTAAACTTTGTTTTTAAGCAATAAAAAAGCATAAGAGATATGATCCAAATGCAAACGAGACACTTAGTTGATATCACATATAAATTTTAAAGCACTGGCTTAAAAAAAGAGAGAGATCCCACTGCCCTATGTTCTGCATATCAATAGAAAATAGTTTTTCATTACCTATTAATAAATGGTTATAGATTTCTTCTTTGTGAACACTGTACATGTGGCTTTACATTTAATAGCTTCAGAGTATCAATTAATGTATGTTTATACCTTTGGGCATATTATACCAATAAAATATTTAATAATTTAATAAATACTATTTACAACATATCTTCCTGCTTTATGAATCCACAATATTAAAGTATTTCAACAACATTATTACCACATTTTTACATAGCGTAGTTGCTGAACTATGATTATCAAGAAAGGTGAGGATATTAAATGCTTCATGAGATTTTTTTATTAAAAATTATATACTATAAAACATGTGCAATATATTAGGTAAACAGATTACAAATTAGTTTATATAGTATCATTTTATTAAATTATGTATACAAAAAATAACAAAAAATATTCCTTGTAAGCCTAATTGCCTTGATTTCATCTCTCAGTTTAAGATACAAGAATTCATTATTCAGAGCTTAGTGTATTGCATGTGACAAAACCTATACATTTCTATCGCAAACAAATAAATAAAGTGAATTTGTTGGTTGACATATTGGGGAAATTTGAGCCTTGATGTTGGCTTTGGTGCCACTGTAGTGAGGAGTTCATAGAATAACCAGAATTTATCTTTCAGTAAATGAAAATCCTTTCAAATACTTATATGAGGCTTGTCTCCCTTTCTGCTGACGTCATTCTTAGGCAGACCCTCACCCGGTGTTAGCAGTAGTAGCTACAGTGGTTCAAGACACATATTCTTTTTAGCTATTGATATTGGTAGGAAAAAAAAAGAGATATTTTTCCTCCTTGCCTCAGTCTGGGTTATCTACCAATCTCTTAGTAAATGGACATAACCAATGGATTAGAGAAATTTTATTGATCAGGCATAAGACCCATCTTCATGGTTTCTAGAACATACATTCAGCCTTAAAGTCATGAAGGGGTAGTTCCCAAAAAGATGTCTACAGTAGAAAAAATGAAATTAAAAACTACATAACCATTGTTCTGTGGAAGAAAAGCAATCAATACAATATTTGGTGGTGGTGGTGGTTGTTCAGAGTCTTCAGATTCTGAAAATGAAAAATGAGTTAATTCATATTAACATTCCTTCTGAGGTCATCTAGAAAATTGGATCAAATAATAAAGCATTATCAAGTCCTGCTTCCAGGTATGAGAAACTAAGACAATCCCAGATGATCCTCTTCTGAAGAATACAACTAACATCCGAGACGTAGTACAAAAAGCAACTACCTGAAAGTACTGGAAAGGGAAAAGAAGTAGTCATACTTTGGTAGAAAGTTTATATTGGCTTGGAAGAGAAGAAATACAGAGCTTTGTAAGTAACAAAGAAAATCTGCTGTCGGCAGACCTGTACATTAAGAAATTTCAAAGGAGGATCTTCAGAATGAAAAAAGATAAGACAAGATGAAAAATTAATTCCTCCAAAAAATGAGGAACATTAAACATGGTAAATATCTGGGTCAGCGCCAGATTCACGGGAATGGCACCAATACTGTTGCACAGGACACCTCTGGCCTTCTCCTATCCACACTCAGAAAGAAGCCCTGTACTTGGGAGTTAATATTCTGTGGTCATTGTCTGGAATTTCTTAATAATTTCATGTTCAAATTTTTCTGTTGTATGTGAAATCCTGGGGACTTTGAGTTTCAGCTCCCATGTGGTCCCACTTCCCAACACTTCCTCAAGAACACAAGATAGGTTCTCTGCTGCCGGATTCTAAATCAGCATCTGGCAATCACTGCTATCTTCTGCCCTCAGGTAGGTCTTAGTGCTGATGTAAGAAGGGTCAGGGTCAGGCGTTTGTGCCTTGCACACTGAAATGGGCAGGGTGCTGGGCATCTATGAGGACCTGCATTCACCTCATAAGATTCCTAACCCAGAGGGAGCTCATCATAAAGTAACAAATAAAAAATACCATGGCAGGTTACAAGAGAAAAATTGTGGTAGAAAGGAAAAGTTTGTCCTGCCTTTTGAGTAACAAAGTCCTGAATTCTCATGTTTCCTTGGGCCCTGAATATTACTTAGCTAGCCCTCATCTGGGTAAATGCAAAGTCTATATATTTATTTTTGCTTTTTAATTTTAATTTATTTATAAAGCATATTGCTATTACCAAATGATGATACTGTTTTGTGGAGTTTGTGACATGCAAAAAAGCATAAAATGAGAAAAAATCTGAAAAGCTGTTCTCCTGCATACATGGGCATGTGAACAAAGGTATTCTCTAGTGTGGAATGCCCATTTACACAGATAAATTGAGACAGAGGCTATACAAATAAGTTCCCATCCATATAACTTTTAAACTGGGGATAACTAAAGTGCTTGCAACAGAACAGTGGGGTGATGGTGAGTGGAGGCATTCTCTGAAAATTCTTACAAAATTCCTTGCTGAGGGATCAGAAAAGTGAAATCAGGAACCATGAATGCCAAAAAAAAAAAAAAAAATGAGAATATCAGAAGAAAGAGGGCTAGAGAGTAGAATCCCTAAATCTGTCTATCCACATCTCCAACTGTCCCCAAAATATGCAAGTGCAAGACAAACTCAAAAAGACAAGCTAAAGGAAAAAAATATCAAAACAAAGCCCAGGGCTGTTGTACACTAAATAAAGTATTAGTTCAATCTCAGCCGAGAAAATTATCTCCTAAAACAAAACAAACAATGGAGTAAAGTAATATAATCCTGAATCTTCACAACTTAACATTGATAATGCTCAGCATAAAGTTCAAAATTATCTGACATAGAAATATTCAAGAAAATGTAACAACATTTCAAGAGAAAAGACAATCAGTTGAAACTGGCTCTAAGATGCACCAGATGTTTGAACTAGAAGAAACAAATTTTAAAGAGGTTATTATAACTGTCTTCAGTGAAGCACATGAGACAAGCAACAAAAAGGTAAAATGGTAGGCCTATACCCAACAATTTTAACAATGATAGTAAATATTAGTTGACTAAAGACTCAATTAAAAGACAGAGACTGTATGAAAAACAAACAAACAAACAAAAGTAACAAATAAAAGGGCAACTATGCTGGATCCATGAGATACATTTTAAGTAGAAAGACAAGTAAGATATAATTGAATGATTGGGAAAAAATACATCATGCAAAGAGTAATCTTATGAAGGCTTGAGGGACTGAATAATATCAGATAAAATAGACTTCAAAAAATGTATTAGGGGACATGAGATATATTTTGTAATGACAAAATTTCAATACAATAAGAAGACATAAAAGTATAAATGTGTATATTTTGAATTACAAGTCTCCAAAATACATGGAACAAATTTTGATAGAATATACAGGGAGAAAGAAAAAACTCCACAGTCATAGCTGAAAGAACTTGAAAGAACTACTCAAGAAATTAGGAAAGACAAAGAAGGTCTAAACAATGTTATCAACCACATTAATTTATTTTATATATTTATATATATATTTAAAAATGATATATATATTTATATGTATATAAATATATATATATGTATGTACTTGTGTACCTTGCAACAATGGATTTCACATTCTCCTAAGTGCACATTATATGTTACCTAGGATAGAAAACATCCTTCAACTAGTCACAATAAATTTCAAAAACTTGAAACCAGACATGGAATGTTTGCACATTGGAATTTAATGAGGAACAATAATAGAAATATAATTATAACACTTCTAATATTAAGACACTTCTAATATTAAGAAACTAACATTATACTTCTAAGCAATTATGGGGTTAACATAGAAAAATTTAGATTTAGAAAGTACAAAACTAGCGACAAGAAATTAGAATGTTGTAAAATGAATAAAGTGCAGTATATCAAAGTTTGTCAGATACAGCAGTTCTCTAACAGAGATTAATGTTTTAGAATGCCATAGTTAAAAAGGACAACAATCTCAAATCCATGATTTAATGGTCAACAGGTATAGGAAAAAAGGCTCCACACCACTAATATCAGAGAGATGCAAATTAAAACCACAATGAGACATCACCTCACCCCAGTTAAAATGATTTTTATAAAAAGACAGGCTATAACAGATAGACGCTGGTAAGGATGTGGAGAAAAGGGGAACCATTGTGTACACTGTCAGTGTTAATGTAAATTATTACTCCCACTAACAAAAATGTATGAAGGTTTCACACAAAAACTAAAAATAGAACTACCAAATGATTCAGCAATTCCACTACGCGGTATATATCCAAATGAAACGAAATCAATACATCAATGGATTGTCAGTACTGCCATGTTTTTTGCAACACTGTTCGCAATAGCTAAAATATAGAATCAATCTAAGTGCCCATCAGTGGATAAATGGACAAAAATGTGATATATATATGCACAAAGAAAAATTACTCAACCATAAAATGGAATCCTTTTATTTGCTGCTACATGGATGGAACAGGAGGCCATTATGTTAAGTGAAATAAGCCAAGCACAGAGAGACAATTACTACATGTTCTCACTCCTTTGTGGGAGCTAAAAAAGTGGATCTCATGAAGATAGAGTAGAATGGTGGTTACCAGAGGCTGGGGATGAAGGGAAAAAAGAATATAAATGTATTTATTATCACTGAACTACATACTTAAAATGATAAAGACTGCAAATTATTTACATGTATATTTTACCTCAATTCAAAAAATGTAAAAAACTTTAAAAATTAAAAAAAATAGTAAATGAAACTCAAAGCAAACAGATGAAAGTAAATAAAGAAGAAAGCAGAAAACCATGAAATAGAAAACAGAAAACGATAGGGGAAAATCAATAAAACCAAAATCTAGTTCTTAAAAAAAAATGATAAAGCTCTAGCCAAATTGATTGAATAAAAAAGGGAAGATGCAAATCACAAGTATTAAGAAAGAGGGGGCCTCACTACAAGTTCTTAAGACTTTAAAATGATAAAGGAATATTATGAGCAACTTTATACCAAAACTTTGAAAGTCTATATGAAATGAATAAATCTCTGGAAGGGTACAAATTAAGAAATCCAGCCTGCAACTAAATAGAAAACTTGAACACAGTAAGTAAGTGAAGTAAATTCAGCTTGTAAGTGCAAGCCTTTCCCCAAAGAAAACTCCAGGCAATGATGGCTTTAATGATGAATTAAATCAAGCACTTAAAGGAGCAATAATACCAAATTTAAACAACCTCTTTAATAGAGTTGGAGAGAACACTTCTTAACTAACTTTATGAAGTCAGCCTTAACTGAATTCCAAAATTAGACAAAGACCTTGCAGTTTGACTGGCAGCTCAGCAGCAGTACAATAGAATAGCAGTTAGAATTCTAAAGTTTTTAACTCTAGTTCCTGTCTCCAGGATGTCACCTCTACAACTGCCCAAGACCTGGGGGATCTCACCACCCTGAAGGCAAAGACACAGGCCTGGCTGGCTTTGCTACTTGCTGATTGTAGAGTACTAGGGCCTTGATTAAACATAGGCCACGGAGAAGGAGTGATTAGGGCAGGTCTTGTGTGACACTTAGTGCTGTGCTGTCTTCAGGAGTGACCACACTCACTCCCGGTGGTGGTGGCCACAGTGATGCGTGTGTCATTTTACCACCAGCACCAGGTGGCTCAGAACAGAGAGAGTGACTCTGTATTTTGGGGGGATAAAGTAAGGGAAGAGAGCGAGAGTCCCTACCTGGTAATTCAGAGAATTCTTGTGAACCTTGTCCAAGACCATCAAGGTGGTACTTCTAAGAGGCTATAAGAACCACAGTGTTATTGAGCTTAGAGTGTCCCTAAAGCAGATACAGGTTAGACCACAATACCCAAGTCCTTTTGAATATCTGGAAAGCCTTCTTAAGGACAGGAAAAGCAATCCTAGACAGTGAAGACTACAATAAATACCTAACTCTTCAGTGCCCAGACACAGAAAATTCTATAAGTATCAAGACCATCCAGGAAAACATGTCTTTACCAAATGAAGTAAATAAGACACCAGATCCCAATTCTAGAGAAACAGAGATATGTGACCTTTCAGATAGAGAATTCAAAATAGCTGTTTTGAGGAAACTCAAAGAAATTCAAGATAACACAGAGAAGGAATTCAGAATTCTATCAGATAAATTCAACAAAGAGATTGAAACAATTTTTTAAAAATCCAGCAGAAATTCTGGAGCTGAAGAATGCAATTGGCATACTGGAGACTGCATCAGAGTCTTTTAAAAGCAAAACAAATCAATCAGAAGGAAGAATTAATGACCTTGAATACAGGCTTTTGAAACTACACAGTCAGAGTAGACAAAAGAGAAAAGAATAAAAAGCAGTGAAGCATACTTACAGAATCTAGAAAATAGCCTCAAAGGGACAAAAATAAGAGTTACTGGCCTTAAAGAGAAGGTAGAGAAAAAGATAGGGGTAGAAAGCTTATTCCAAGAGATAATAACAGAGAACTTCCCAAACCTAGAGGAAGATATCAATATCCAAGTCAAGAAGGTTATAGAACACTAAGCAGATTTAATCCAAAGAAGACTACTTCAAGGCATTTAATAATCAAACTCCCAAAGGGGAAGTATAAAGAAAGAATCCTAAAAGCATCAAGAGAAAAGAAACAACATAAAATGGAGCTCCAATGAATCTGGCAGCAGATTTTTTTAGTGGAAACCCTACAAGCCAGGAGTGACATGACATATATACATTGCTGAAAGAAAAAAACTTTCACCATAGAATAGCATATCCAGTGAAAATATCCTTCAAACCTGAAAGAGAAGTGAGGACTTTCCTGGACAAACAAAAGCTGAGGGATTTCATCAACACCAGACCTGCCCTATAAGAAATGCTAAAGGAAGTATTTCAATCAGAAAGAAAAGAATGTTAATGAGCAATAAGAAATCCTCTCACGCTACAAAACTCACCGGTAATAGTAGTACGCAGAAAACCAGAATATTATAACACTGTAACTGTGGTATGTAAACTGCTCTTATCTCAAAGTAAGACTAAACAATGAGCAAATCAAAAATAATAACTATGACAACTTTTCCATACGTAGAGTGCAATATGATATAAATAAAAACAATGAAAATTCAAAAACTGGGGCATTAAGTTAAGGTGTAAAGTCTTCATTGATTTTCATTTTGCTTATTTCTTTGTTTATGCAAAATTGATTTTCATTTTGCTTATTTCTTTGTTATCAGCTTAAAATAATTGGTTATAAGATAATAGTTACAAATCAAATAGTAAGTTCAAACCCAGAAAACACAGACAGGATACAAAAAAAAATAAAAAACAAGAAACTTTGTTATATCACCAGAGTAAATCACCTTCACTAAAAAGAAGAAAGGAAAAAAGGAAGAGGAAACTACAAAACAACCAGAAAATCAATAAAATGGCAGGAGTAAGTACTTACTCATCAATAGTAACATTGAATGTAAGTGGACTAAACTCTCCAATAAGAACGCATAGAATGGCTGAATGGATAAAAGAAAAAGACTCATTGATCTCTTGCCTACAAGAAACATTCTTTACCTATAAAAAGACATGTAGACTGAAAATAAAGATTTGGAAATAGATATTACATGCGAAAAGGAACGGAGTTGCTATACTTATATGAGACAAAATTGATTTCAAGGCAAAAACTATTAAAAGAGACAAAGAACAATATTATATATTGATAAACAGGTTAGTTAGCAAGAGGATATAACAAGTTTAAATATATATGCCTAAGAGTGGAGCACCCAGATATATAAAGCAAATATTATTAGAGCTAAAGAGACAGGGAGAGTCTCAAATACAATAATAGCTGGAGACATTGACACACCCCTTTAAGCGTTGGACAGATCTCCCAGACAGAAAATCAACAAGGTAACACCAGACTTAATCTGCACCACACACCAAATGGATCTAATAGATATTTAGAGAACATTTGATCCAACATCTGCAGAGCACACATTCTTTTCCTCAGCACATAGAACATTCTCAAGGATAGACCATACGTCAGGTCACAAAACAAGTCTTAAAACGTTCAAAAAATTGAAGTAATATCAAGCATATTTTCTGACCACAATGGAATAGTAGTAGAAATAAATAACAAGAGGAATTTTGGAAACTATACAAATACATGGAAATTAAACAATATGCTCCTCAATGACTAGTGAGCCAATGAAGAAATTAAGAATTAAATTGAAAAATTTCTTGAGACAAATGATAATGGAAACACAACATAGCATAATCTATGGGACACAGTAAAAGCAGTACTTGGAAGTTTATAGCCGTCAATGCCTACATCAAAAAAAAAAAAAAAGGAAGAAAAATGAAATAAATAACCTAACAAGTCATCTTTAAAAAGTAGAAAAGAAAGAGCAAACCAAACCCCAAATGAGTAAAAAAAAATTAAAGATTAGAGTAGAATTAAATGAAATCGAAATGAAGGAAAAATATAAAAGATTAATGAAACAAAAAGTTGGGTTTGTTTGAAAAGTTGAACAAAATTGACCAGCCCTTAGCCAGACTAAGAAAAAAAGAGAGAAGACTCAAATAAATAAAATCAAAAATGAAAAAAGAGACATTACAACTGATATTGCAGAAATTCAAAGGATCATTAGTAGCTACAGTGAACAATTATACGCCCATAAGTTGGAAAATATAGAAGAAATGGAGAAATTCCTAGACACACACAACCTACCAAGATTGAAGCATGAAGAATCCTAAAACCTAAACAGACCTATAACAAGGAACAAGACTGGAGCTGTAATAAAAAGTCACCCAGTAAAGAAAAGCCCAGGAGATGATGGTCTTACTTACTGTTGAATTCTACCAAACATTTAGAGAAGAACTAATACCAATCCTACTCAAATTATTCTGAAAAATAGAGGAGGGCAAGGACTTCTGAAGTCTTTCTTCAAGGCCAGTATTACAAGAAACCAAAACTAGACAAAGAAAATAAAAAAAAAAAAGAAAGAAAGAAAACTATAGGCCAGTATCTCCAATGAACATCGATACAAAAACCCTCAACAAAATACTAGCAAAGTGAATTCAACAATACATTAGAAAGATCATTCATCATGACTAAGTGGGATTTATCCCTGGGATGCAAGGATGTTACAACATATGCAGATCAATCAATGTGATACATCATATTGCAGAATGAAGCACAAAAACTATATGATTGTTTCAACTTATGCTGAAAAGACGTTTGATAAAATTTAACATCCCTTATGATAAAAACCCTGAAAAAAATGGGTATAGAAGAAACATACCTCAACATAATAAAAGTCATATATGACACATCCATGGTTAGTAACATACTGAGTGGGAAAAACTGAAAGCTTTTCTTCTAAGATCTAGAACACAACAAGGATGTTCACTTTACCACTGTTATTCAACATAGTAGTGAAAGTACTAGTTAAAGCAATCAGGCAAAAGTAAAAAAAAAAAGGGTATCCCATTTGGAAAATAAGAAGTCAAATTATCCTTATTTGCAGATGATATGATCTTATATTTTGAAAATCCTAAAGACTCCACCAAAAAAAGGTTAGAACCGATAAACAAATTCACTAAATTTGCAGGATACAAAATCAACGTACAAAAATCAGTAGCATTGCTATATGCCAACAGTGAACAATCTGAAAAAGAAATCAAGAAAGTACTCTCATTTACAATAGCTACAAATAAAATTAAATACCTAGAAAGTAACAACAAAAAAAGTGAAAGATCTCTGTAACTATACAACACTGATGAAAGAAATTGAAGTGAACACCAAAAAAAGGAAAGATACTCCATGTTCATCAATTGGAAGAATTAATATTGTTATAGTGTCCATAATACCCAAAGAAATATAGGTATATTCAGTGCAATCCTTGTCAAAATATCAATGACATTCTTCACAGAAATGAAAAAAGCAATTCTACAATTTATATGGAACCACAAAAGACCCAGAATAGCCAAAGTTATCCTAAGCAAAAAGAACAAAACTGGAGAAATCACATTACTTAACTTCAAATTATACTACAAAGCTATAGTAACCAAAGCAGCTTGGTATTGGCATAAAAACGGACACATAGACCAATGGAACAGAGTAGAGAATCCCGAAACAAATCCACACACCTACATTAAACTCGTTTTTGACAAAGGTCTCAGGAACATACACTGGGGAAAAGACAGCCTCTTCAATAAATGGTGCTGGGAAAACTGGATATCCATATGCAGAATAATGAAACTAGAACTCTGTCTCTCACCACATATAAAAATCAAATAAAAGTGTATTAAAGACTTAAATATAAGACCTCAGTCTACGAAACTGATACAAGAAAACATCAGGGAAACTCTCTAGGACATGGGTCTGGGCAAAAATTTCATGAGAAATACCCCACAAGAACAGGCAAGCAAAGCAAATATGGGCAAATGGGCTCACATCAAGTTAAAAAGCTTCTACACAGCATCAGAAACAATCAACAAAGTGAAGAGACAACCCACAGAATGGGAGACTATATTTGCAAATTACCCATCTGACAAGTCATTAATAACCAAAACATGTAAGGATCTTAAACAACTCTACAGGAAAATATAATTATCTGATTTAAAAAGGGACAAAATATTTAAATATACATTTCTCAAAATAAGACATGTAAATAGCAAACAGGCATATATAAAGGTGCTCAACATCATTGAGCATCAAAGAAATGAAAACCAAAACTACAATGAAGTATAATCTCACTCCAGTTAAAACAGCCTATATCTAAAAGAAAGGCAATAACAAGTGCTGATGAGGATCTGGAGAAGAGGGAACCCTCATACATTCTTGGTTGGAATGTAAATTTGTACAACCACTATAGAGAAACATTTGGAGGTTCCTCAAAAATCTAAAAATAGAGCTACCATAGAGTCCAGTAATCCCACTGCTGAGTGCATATCCAAAAGAAAGGAAATCAGTATATTGAAGACATATCTACACTCCCATGTTTGTTGCAGCACTGTTCACAATAGTTAAAGGTTTGGAAGCAAATTAATTGTCCATCAACAGATGAATGGATAAAGAAAATATGGTACTTATATATAATGGAGTACTATTCAGCCATAAAAAAGAATGAGATCTTGTCATTTGCAACAACATGGATAGAACTGGAGGTCATTTTGTTAAATGAAATAAGCCAAGCACAGAAAGACAAACATCACATGTTCTCATTTATTTGTAGGATCTAAAAATCCGAACAATTGAACTCACAGAGATAGAGAGTAAAAGGATGGTTACTGAAAACTGGAAAGAGTAATGGAGAGAGGGGAGTGGGGATGGTTAATGAGTACAAAAAATAGAAAGAATGAATAAGAGCTAGTATTTGATAGCACAGAGTGGGACTATAGTCAATAATAATGTAGGTGTACATTTAAAAATAAGTGTACATCTTAAAAACTAAGAGCGTATAATTGAATTGTTTGTAATACAAGGATAAATGTTTAGGGGAATAAATACTCCATATTACATGATGTTATTACTATGCATTGCATGCCCGTATCAAAATATCTCATGTACCTTATACATATATACACCTACTATGTACCTACAAGAAATTAAAATAAAAATTAAAAAAAAAACAAAACTAGACAAAGACAATGCAACAAAAATAACTACAAGCCAATGTTTTTCAAAGCATACATGCAAAAGCCTTTAGAAAAATATGTACAAATTGAATACAACAATATTAAGAGAGAAAAGTAATCATCACCAAGTGGAATTTATTCTAGAAATATCATGTTTGTTTTAGTATGTGAAAATCTATCAACATAATTCATCATATTAATGAAATAAAAAAGAAAATCATGATTATTTTAAAAGATGTAATAAAATGAAAAATTTGATAAATTTTATTAAACAAACCACTCTAAGAATAAAAATGGAATTTTTCACAAGGTTACGGGCATCTATAAAAAACTTACAGTTCAGTTGCAAAAGACTAAATCTTTCTATCTAAGGAAGAACACAAGAATATCTACTCCTAATATTTTAACATTCTTCTGGTGGTCTTATCCAGTGTAAAGAAAGGATATAAAAGGCATACGGATTAGAAAAATTTCACATAGGACAGAATCAAAGCTGATTACAATATATATAAAGTGGAAAATAAAATAGTTAAAACACTTTTGAAAAAGATAAACATATTGGGAGGAAATTTCACTACCTAATTTTACGATTTACTATAAATCATTAATCAAGACTAGACAGAAATATAGATAAATTAAACAGAACAGTGAGCCCAATTAAACATGACTTACATGGTCCATTGATTTTAGAAGAAAGTACTATATTAAATTAATAGAGAAAGGGTGGTCTTGAAAAATGGTGCTAGATAATTTTATATTCATATGCAAACTAATGAATTTCAATCCTTACTTCACATGATACAAGAATATTAGGTCATAGTCCCAAAGATAAGGCTTAAAATAAACTTCCTGGAGAAAACACAGGAAGAATATTCGTACTATTGTTTCAGGCAAAGATAGAAGACACCCGTAACTGCAAGAATAGAAAGGAACAGAAACACAGAATGGGTAGGACAAATTGAAATGAATTTCAATACATAAGTAATTGTATGTCAGATTGTATTAATGAGATGAAAATTTTAAGTATTAGAAAGGTAAAAAAGCTGTGAATATTTAGACTATATGATTGTATAGATAAGAAATCAAAGGGATGTTTGAGTAGATTCTTGTAATTAATAACAATTTTACAAGTCTGTTGGATACAAAGGCAATGTATAAAAATCAACTATATTTCTGTTAAGAGCAGCAAACAGAAAATGAAATGCGAAGATGTTATCCAACAGCATAAAATACAACAAATCTATAATTCTAACTAAAAATCTTCAAGGTGTTATAGGAAAACTTAATATGTTGCTACAACATTGTAGAGAGTAATTACATGAAAATCTAATGAAACAGAGAGATATACTATATATATTTGAATAATCAATCCTATAAAGAAGTCAAGTATTCTCAACTTGATAAGCAATCCTATCTATAGTGTGTATGAATGGGCATTTGAATTTGTGTGTATGTCTATAGAACTACATAAGCTAGTATCAAAATTTACATAAAAATTCCAAGAATAAGGCAAACATCTTAAAGGAAAACAACCAAAAGGCAGAACTTCCTCTTCTAGATTTCAAGACTTACGTTAAGGCTGCAATAATTTAGACAGTGTGGTTTGAGAATGGTTCAAGAATACACTAATAGTGGAACACAATACAATATTGACTTCATAAGCAGACCCATAAATATTTAGACACTTGATATATGATAAAGAGCGAAAGGGTAGTCTTTCCAACAAATAATCTGGGAGAAATTAGGATACTCATATTTTAAAAGTGAAATGAAACATCTACCTCATGTCATACACAAAAAGTCAATTTCAAGTAGATTGAAGATTTGAGTAACTTCTATTAGTGATGGAAAATGTTTTCATGAATTCAGGGTAAGGAAGTATTTCTTCAAAAGGCGACAAAACAGAACCAACAGTAAAGGAAATGATCAGCAAAGTTAGCTCTATTCGAACCTACTTTTGTAAAATGCTGCAATGTGGGAGATGATATTTGAAACATGTACAGCTAATAAAAGATTCATATAAATAATATATAAAGAATTTCTACAAATTATAAGAAAAATGTGAGACAACCAAATAAAGAAATACACAAGAGACTTGAACAGGCACTTCACAAATGATAATTTCCAAATAGAATATATGAAAAAGAATCCAACACAGTAACTAATCAGGAAAGTGGAAATTAGAATCACAATAAAGTACTAGCAGGCATCCTCAATCAATGACCAAAGTTAACAAGATTGACAATACCAACATTGGGGGACAATGTAGAACTATGGCAACTCTCATACACCGCTGGTAGGAAAGTAAATTTTTGGAATAGCTTTGGAAAATGGTTTAGTATCATATAGTAGAAGTGCAGATTATTCATATTTATAATCCAGCAATTTTCTTATATATAATAATTTAATCAGTGCAATAGAAACATGTACACTTGGGTAACCAGAGACATATGCAAGAATTTTCATAGCAGATTTTTTTTCTGTCAGCTGCAAACTGAAAACAATTCAAATGTTAATTATAATTGAAATGGTTACATAAATTCCATTATACTTATGGAATGGAATTCTGTACAGCAATGGAAATGAATGAACCACTACACACAGCATCATTGATTTGGCTCACAAACATAAAATTGAACAAAATATGCCAGATACACACAAAAATACATGTTTTGTTCCATGTATAAAACTCAAAAGATAAAATGGAGTGTACAGAAATATACGCCTAGTGGTTAAAGACAAGACTAAAACACAGAAGTGATTATCGTTAAAATCAGGATTGCAATTTACTTTGGAGGAAAGGGGATAGTGTTTGGGAGGGCATATAAGGTAGACTCTCTTAAGTATACCTGATGCTCTGTTTCTTGGCTAGGGTAGGAATTGCACAACTTAGATAATTCCTTGGGCTGTGTAGGTTTATTTTGTGCTCTCAGTGTATGTGATATATTTCACAATAAAATAAGCTAGTACATGTAATATATAATACATATATACATATGTGAATTATCTATATAATTAAATATACATATTAATATATAGAGAGAGAGAGGGAGAGAGAGAAATATATATATATATATTCCAACAATTTGGAAGTGTATATTTTATTAGAGTTGGAAAATAGAAGTGGTTATCTCTTACAGGCATGTGATAGTGTGCCAAAAAAGTATCTGAAAATGCATGACAAATGTGAAACACCACTTTTGCTTGAAGTTTGGAAAAGGAAAGGGAGAAACTTAATCACTAAAGATAAACCATGGTTTTATATTAAAATGGTCACAGATATAGTACAGAATGCAAGATTTCAAGGCTTTTAAAGCTATCCTTGGGCCTTAAATATTTTCCCTTTTAAGAAATTTATCACTTCCCATGAGTCACTTCAAGTTATATTTCTTCAGTGCCCACCCAAGTTACCCCAGCCATCCCCCCTCACGGGGCATGTACACACACACACACACACACACACACACACACACACACAATGGCACACACACATACACACACACACACAAACCAAGTTCTCATTTGTTCAGAACTTTCTGGCAAAGTCCTGCACTGAAAGTCCTGCATTCCTGAGAAACTTTTTTGATCCCAGGAAACTGATAAGGTTGGTCAGAGACACTGAATAAGCAAATTTCTGAAAGCTTTTTTTTATGCCATTCTTTTAAGCTTTGAACATCAACGATTATAAAATAAAAAAAAATTATAAATCTGGAATTGTACTTAAATCAAGAAATATTTTTATCCCACATTATACTATTTGATAAGTTTAACTTGCATATTTTCTGCTATTTTGCCCAAAGGAAGTTTTTGCTCATGCTCAGTGCCGTTGATGAGCCTTGCCCACCAAGTTTAATTTACCTAATCTGAGGTGAGACAATGCTGAGCTAATTTTAGCCAGAGGCAGGCCTAAAGCAAGGTTAGGAAATGACTGAGGTCTGAAAGATACATCACATGAAAGAACACTGAAGAGCTTAACATCTGAGAAAGAAGGATAGAATAAGTTATTGGAAGAATGATTTACAGCCAAAAATAAGGACTAGAATATATAGGAGCCAATGATTGTGACATTAAATCTTTTAATATATAGTATTTTTAGATGAGATGAGATTAGAAAATTTAGTGCATTACATTTTGAATCACAGACTCATTTGGGGATATTTCATTCTCCTTTATTTCTGGATGGTTTAAGATTCATTTTTATCATACACATATCTCTATCTTATGTTCCCTGTACAGTTTGGCATATGCTTAGTATGGCCTCTAAGAAAGTCATTTTGATTTGAAAATCTTAACTCTATTTCCTACTTTTCTAATTTGAAGCCATAATTTAATGCCACTTTTTTATTGTACTGCAGCATAAAAAAATTAATTCTACACAGACTGGGATGACTATGAAATTTGTAGGCAGAAAATGGGTTTCATTTTATATTAAGTTGCTACACGAGGAATCTGGTTTTCCTCTTAGGTATTGATGAATTCTTGTGGACTAAATGCCCTTGCAATTTTCTTACAAGTGCAGGGGTCGATTTGCCTTTTGGTGAAACAAAACCAGGCAAATGGAATTCTGTTTAATTGAGTGATACACTCCGCTGGATCTGCCATTAGAAATGGTGAAAAAAGTTCACTTTAGAAAATCAGTACTGTGGAGGAAGGGTGTACAGAGCTTATTGTCTACTCTTGAGTATGCCTAAAATCTGCAAAGAACAATTTGGTCCTCTTACCTTTCTAAGAAATGATATTTCCATGAAGCTTCAGAGTTTTAAGCTATTAAATCTTGTCTTTTTTTTTTTTAATTTTTAACTACAGTGTAGTTTTCAAATTCCTGTAACTAAGAATGCTGTTCTAGATGGTAAGGCTTTTCTGAGCCTTTCTGTATCTTTTGGTGACTGACTTTGGGAGCTGCCAAGGCAGACAATCCACTCTGTTTTCAACCCAAAAAGGGCAGAAAGGTGGAAACATGTTTTATAACACTCTCAGCTCTTTTTAACTCGGAGCATGCTGACTTTCTGGCCTTGTGCCTGTGGAAAGAGACAAATGAGATGAAGCCTGCTTTTATTCCTGTTCTCAATGCTCCCCCATCTAAGAATGCAAAAAAGTAAACTATCCTGTTGGAAAAAGACCCTACTTCCTTTACCAGGTCAAAAGTTTAAAGGAAAGTAATTGGATGCAGTCCCTAAAGTGAGCATTTGCCTAAGTGTAATTTGGCAGTTATTTTTTGTGTTTATAATGAGAAAATAAAGAACTTGTGGAGGAGTTTGAAAAGTAGACATAAAGAAAGAAACTTTGAAAGCGAGTTCCTGCTGATTGCTTTCCTATATCAAACATTATATTATATCAAAACAGAGTAAAAAGTTCACCCTATTTTTGTTTGAAATATTTAACATGGACCTCCTTGATATCTACTGGTCTCCAAAAAAGATTTATGTCTCAATTAAAACAATTATAGGAAGTTAAACGCATGGCAATGGGAATGTTGTGAAGTATAGAATATGGAACTATATGTTCTAAAACTAGAATATATGAACACATTTGTGAGAAGTTATTATCCTTCAGGATCTCAAGAGTAATGATTTTAGGTTTCAATGAAGTCATCTCAGGAAAAAGGTATAGTCAGGTAGGAATGCTTAATTTATCAGTGCCTCTTCAATAGAACCGACTTACCTCTGAAGACCTTCCCAGGATTAATTGAATCTTACACATTGAAATTCAATGTACAAGTTAGACAAATAAATTGTCTTTCATTGGCTTATTTCCATTTGAAAGACTTCTGAAGAGACTGGTTCTTTGATTCTGTTAGAAGGAATTAAAAAATTTTTATTAGGGCACATACTTTATATCATGATAGGCATAACAATGTGGATCCCCAAAAGTGAAAAACAGCTCCAGTATTATTCACCCCAAGTGGCAGTCTCTTTGCATATTCTGAATTAGAAAGACCTCTCACTCATTCAGTCTCTGCTGTGCCTGTGACTCCTATCTCTTCTGGATTTTTTTTCATCTGAATGTCAAGTATAATATGGCTAAACCTACCTTCCTTTTCCCCCAACCTTCCTTTCTCTAAAACCACATTCCTTAAATAATATAAGAATAGAGTGTCAGTTAACTTTTTCATCTGATGTTATGACCAAGTGTTCTGTCAAGAGTTAGAAGAAATAAAGAGTATTCCAAGATACTCAGTAGCTGAGGAGTAATGACTTTAGGTTTCAAAGAGGTTATGACAGGAAAAAGGTATAGTCAGCTAGGAATATTTAACTTATCAGTGCCTCTTTCATAGAACCGACTTACCTCTGATGACCTTGCCAGGATAATTAGAAAAAGGCAGTGCTGATCTTCATACTTAAGTATGTTTGGAATTCTATAATGATTTTATTTCATCCAGGGAAACAGATGTCACATTTTCAGAAACTTTGATCATGCAAATACATTTTAAAAATGGTAATTCGTTAAAAGTTTATTGCATACTTTTAAAATACCACCTTTCAATGATTATAGTTTACTAGTTTAATATTTATAAATACAGCATGTATGTTAAAAATATGTATGTAATACTGCTAGTTAGTAAATTCAGCATAATGAAATTTTGAATGGGTCAAAACTAAAGAAAATGAAAAAATTAAATTATTAAAAAAACTCATTTTCTTGCTTTTTTGTTGGGACAAAATCAAATTTAATTATTAAGATAAAGTTATTTTTCTCTATATATATTAGGTAGAATAGAGAAGTGAGCTTTGTCATTTTTGTTTCACATTTTTAGTTGCTAAAATAATATTATAGGTATGTAGAAATTATACAACATAATTCACTGGTCACTGGTTTTCCTATAATAGTTATTGCCCACTGAACTTACAATATAATTATTGACTACAGAGCCCAAAGCAAAATTTAGAAAGACATCAAAATTCCACAGTCGATAGGAAGGATTATTTTGCCAAACACAATCACGTAATAACAGTAATAACAAGTTATTACTAAGTGACAATTTTTAGGCTTGAAGTCACAAGAAATATAACGGCAATATAAAAATTCAATAATTTTTTTAGTTCAAACACAGCTAAGTATGTTCTGTATAATAGGAATGATCATTGTTAACAATTTTTATAACTTCTCCATTTTATATTTTCAAATTTAAATATTTATCCTGAGTAGTGCTTTCTTAAGTATTCTGTCCTATAGTTATTTATTTTAATATAAAGAAATAATCTGCTTTGATATAATTATTGCATTTTATTTACAACATCAATAAGGGTCTAGGTGAATTGAGGCAGTGTGAAATAATAGATAAGAACATTAATTCGGAAACAGGCTAATTGAATTTCAGTCTTAGCTCCATCACTTCTATGGGAGTATATGGGGATGAGTTACCTGTTCTCTAAAACCCAGTTTTCTATCTGCAAATTTGGCTAATAATAATCATTGTTGGTTGGTAGTGCTTCACAGAGGTGTATATACTGCTGAGAATCATATCTGATGTATCAGACATAAGTGTTTAAATAATAAAATTTAAAAAAATTTGGACTTATCAGAAATAAGATCAAAGAACACAGAAAATTAACATTCATAGTGATTTATCACAATTGTACAACAATATGTATGGCTCAGTTTTATTTTTAATGATGTACAGTTATAATTGCATTGCCAATTATTTGATATCCTTTACACTTTTCATTTGTATCATGGCCTTTTCAAAGCAGTCTTTTATGTATTTGTGATGGAATAAAAATATCAAAAAATCTGGAACTTTACTCTGAAATTTGATAAATTTCATGATGAAAAATGAGGAACTGTGCTTCCATTTCCCAGATTTGGTAGTCAGCTACCAAAGATCAGAGCTGTCATCTTGGCTGTCAGATTATCAAGAAACCGAAGCAAAATGTTTAAATACCATCCAATTTCCGCCAAGAGTTTTTGTTTGTTTAAGAAATGTGATGATAAATACTTTTTCCTATAATTTTAAGACAGTGACATTATTTCATGCATGTACCTAATTACAACAATACGTTCAGAGCTTGTAAGTTAAAAAGTAAAGAAATATTAAAGATTATATATTATTCTGGCAGATGTTTGTATTTGCCAGTTAAAATGAAGGCTTCTGAATTTCTTTTGTTAATGGTAAAAATTAATTGAGTAATACCTACATGGGAGAAGTTATTTGGAAATTAATTTCTGAACTCCACAGTTTAAATTTTATAAGTATAGTGATAGTGTTTTCATATTCCAGCCCTCTTTCTCTTTCTCTCTCTTTCTAACACACACACATGCACACAGACACAGGTGTATGTGTAAGTAATTTGGTTATAAAAATGCTCTGCTAATAATAAATTTTGGAGGATGCCTTAAATATTATTGCACACTTAATTGAATTATTTATTACTTCTTGGGTTACTTGCATACAGTTCAAATATTGTAAACTCTCATGGAGTTTCATCTGCTCTACTGTAAAGGAGGGTCAGCACTAAATTAAATGGTGCTACAATCTAATAGTATTTTAGCCCAGTTTTTAGGATAATTGAGCCAAAGCTTAATTCTATACAACCTCAATAATGTTTCTTCACTAGTGGTAGCATACTTATTTTACTAACCTCTTTAATGCCACAATCAATAGTTTTGAAACTTTCACATTCCCTCAGCCTCAATATAATACATGGCCTCTACCTCCTTACTCTGTTCATTGCACTAGATGCTTCTGAAATGAACATATTAGATAACAACAGACAAGGATCAGAGATTTAAACTTTTGCAGGAACTGGAAGCTTAGGCTATGCTCCTTATCCACTAGCTGGGATATTCATCTATAATTTTTAACTGAAGACATCAAAAAATAATTTTATAATTTAATATTTTTTTCTAGACCTTTCTTCCACACATTAAAACAATATAGTCATGTGTAAATAGTCATTTACTATTGGGTAGATTTAGAAAGAATAATATAGTTAATATTCAAATATACCTCTGTGTTAATATTCAAATATCCTATAGTTAATATTCAAATGTACTTCTGGGAATACTAGAAAATGTGTTTGTGATCACCATACATATTTTTTAAATCATACAAAATTTCCCTCACTTGAAAAGACTCATTAAAAAGAAAACATACGGAAAAAAGTTTTAAAATCATCTTGATTTTTTGAGTCTTTATAATTTGGAATTCAAATATTTGGAAGTGATGTGGGTTAGAGGTAACCTTTATTATAGAATAGTTGTTAGATAAACACAAAATTCTTCTTGGGTAGGTCTTTTTTCAAGTGAAATAAGCATGTAGTTACTGAAGGTAAATAAACACTAACAATGCCATAGCATGTCAGTTTCTATGTATTATGTGAGTCACTAGTGATAGTGGCAGGAGACAGACAAATTCCTAGGCAGACAGGGACAGGTCCCCTGTAAAACCCGACATTCAAGCCAAAAGACAACCTGAAACCTGAAAACTGAGCTGCAGATTCTGGGTAGAGTCCTTGACCTGGAGTAAGAACTTCCATGATGCCTTTTAGCCAATCAAATGGTGCTTTTCTCTGGCTCACCCATGGACCAACCAGCACACACTCCCCCATTCTGAGCCCATTAAACTCCTGGACTAAGCCACATGGGGGACTACTGGCTTTTGGGTAGGAGCTACCCACTTTGGGTCCCCTCTCTGCTGAGAACTGTTCTGCATTCAATACAACTCTTCTCCGCCTTGCTCACTCTCAGGTTGTCCACGTAACTTCATTCTTCTTGGGCCCAGGACAAGAACCTGGGATTCGCAGAACAATGGGAGCAAAAATGGCTTTAACACTTCCTGGCCGGCTTGCCAAATTGTGGGTGGTGATATGCTCTCCTTCGCTGGACTGTGGGAGGAAAGAATGGCAACCATTCAGGTGGCCCAGAACTCAGGATTCCCTGAGCCAGAGCTGTAACACTGTAACCCTCCCTCCCTCCACATGTGATGGGAAGCAGAGGGGGGACCAAGCCAGCCCAGGAACCACAGGCCAGAGCGGGGAAGCGGGATCAAATGAGCTGGGACCTGCCTCCGTTCGCGGAAGTGTGTGGAAGGCGGGAATGAATGAGCTGTAATGCTTCCTGAGCAGAAGGCTGTAACACCCCTTGGGGCTCGACAGTTGCTGGCGTCTCTGAGTTTTCGGGCGCCACCATGTTCCCCTCATCTAGATGCTGGTGCCCAAGGCAGAAGCTGCTTTTGATAAGCCTGGTCCAGACACAGCTGCGCACAGAGCCGGTGCTTGTGCTGGCGCCTGGAGCTGCCTGTCCCACCACAGCAGCTGGGGTGCCTGGCTGTGCCTGTAGTTGGACCCTGCAACCCTTGCTGCTTTGCTCCAGGCTCGCCCTCGGCGCCCTTGGAGGGCACAAAATCTGGGCTGGTAGTGCAAGCCGAGTGCTGCCCGTCGGGCTGAATGAGCAGAGCGAGCCCAGCGATTGCAAGGGAAACTGGAGCAGAGGCGCTGCCAGCAACAGAGGTTTCCAGCTGGTGAAGTGGCACCCAAAGGATCCTGTGTCACTAGTGTGTGTATGCTCTATGTGTGCGTGTGTTGGGAAAGAGAAAGAGAATGAGAAAGTACAAGGTTGACAACATTTTTGTAACTGTTTTTTCATTATTAATACATTATTATAAGCTGAAGACTCATAAAAATTTATTTTAAACTATGGGTTATAACCTAATACTAATTTATATTTTTCCTGAAATTGTTCAAACTTTGAAAATAGGGAACTCTTTCAGTTGGTTCTTGTGCCTTTGACATATGTTTTAGTTTTTCTTTTTTCCCTCCCTCCCTCCCTCCCTTCTTTCCTTAGGTTACTTAGGGCAATACCTCTTCCCCATCCTCTTTTGTGAAGTTGTTTTATACATATGTAGTACAATTTGATCCTTCCTTCCCTCCCTCCCTTCCTTCCTTCCTTCTTCCTTCCTTCTTTCCTTCCTTCCTTTTTCTTTCTCTCTTTCTCTCTTTCTCTCTCTTTCTCTTTCTCTCTTTCTCTTTCTTTCTTTCATATTTTCTTATTTTCCAGCAAAACAATATGCTGCAGGCTCATCTTGTCTATTTCCTGCTCTAGTCCTAGAATTAGCCATTTCTCCAAGGGAAACTGGTTTCCTTAATTGGGCAATAGTATTAGAAACAAAGATCTGATCACTTGATGTGCTCATTGCTATGGGCTGTCATTACTTTTAGGCCCTCTTAGCTGAAAAAAACAAGGAAATACATATGTGTATACTAACCCATAGATGTATCCATATATCTATAATATTTCTAGATATAACTAACCATCTATATCTATTTTAAGCTAAACCTGAATTTATACTGATATTTCCCCATTTCTATTTTTTTTTGAAATGGAGTCTTGTGATGTAGCCAAGGCTGGAGTGTAATGGTGCGATCTCAGCTCACTGCAGCCTCTGCCTCCCAGGTTCAAGTGATTCCCCTGCCTCAACCTCCCAAGTAGCTGGAATTACAGGCACATGCCACCACACCCGGTTAGCTTTTGTATTTTTAGTAGAGACGAGGTTTCACCATGTTGGCCAGTCTGGTCTCGAACTCCTGACCTCAGGTGATCCACCCACCTCAGCCTCTCAAAGTGCTGGGATTACAGGCATAAGCCACTGTGCCCGGCCCCACTTTCTTCATTACCACGTGGGTCATTCTAGCTTTTTCTCTTGCTTATCTGTAACTTCCTATTCCAACAGTAAAAAAAACCTCCTACCCTTGGGCATTTATTTACTTAATTATTCAATTCCAGTACGCATATATACCTGTTTCATATTGTTAAACTGCACTCCTCAGGGGCACAACTTTATCTAATAGAATACAGTACTTACATACAGTTCATTTTGCATTTACTCTTAGAGTCTACTCATTTCCAAAGTTACTTAGGGCAATACCTCTTCCCCATCCTCTTTCGTGAAGTTGTTTTATACATAGGTAGTACAATCTGATTCTTTTGTCACATTGTGTGTTTCATCCTCTGAAGTCTCTCAGTTTTCCAAATAATTTTTATAATTTGTGTACATTAAATTTAACTCTGTGCTTTACAATTCTATGGGTTTTGATAAAAACATACTGTCATACATCTCATATAGGAGGCAGGACTTGACTCTGAGGTGGCGCTTGGACACCAGACCAAGTTGAGGACTAGCTAAAACAGGGCTAGGGCAGAAGCAGCTTTCCATAAGACATGGCCGCCTTGCTCTGCAGGAGAAGTCATGGAGCTGTGACACCATGGGAGCTGTAATACTACCTCTTCAATGAAGCTTTTTTCTTCAATCGCCAACTTGCCCTTGAATTATTTTCTGGGCAAAGCCAAGAAACTTCTTGGGCTAAGCTCCTCTTTGGGAGGCTTTCCTCCCTTGCTTTACAGCTACCATTACATTACAAAATATCTATACTATCCTAAAGAATAATATCCTATTGGATATGCCCCATCACCGGCCCCAAAAAGTCACTGATTTTTTTTTACCATCTCTATAGTTTTGCCTATTCCGGAATGTCATTTAAGTGGAATTATAGTAGAGCCTTTCCATCTGACTTCTTTATCTCTGTTGGGTATAGTGTGTTTTGGTTCTTCTCTTTATTATTTTTGTTTGTACATTTGTTTTGTAATTCTTTTAAAAATGTATCTATTAAGGTGGGGGTAGATGGCTCACTACTCTTTATCACTGTATAGTATCCCACTGTGTAAATGTACCAGTTTGTTTATCCATTCGCTTGAATACTTTAATTGCTTCCGAGTTTGAGGAATTATGAATAAAATTGCTATAAACATTTGTATACAGTTTTTGGTGTGCAAAGAGAGTAGATCTTAAGTAGACATAAGTTTTTAAATCTTCTATGTATTTTCATCTGAATAAGAAGAATATAATTAATTTTTATAACAAAGTGAGATAAATATGCACTGTTGAAATGCCAATATTAGTAATATGTTATTATGTCATAAGTAGCTCACTTATGATTTCCAAAGTTGTTCCGTATCTCCATAATATCTAATTTAAAATTAGCTAAGTTATATATGCTATCATGTTGCTTAAGGAAATAAATTTGCTTTGATCACTAATAGAAAAATGTGTACATTTGTATAATTTGGGACTTGACAATTATGTCAGGAACATGATTTGATGTTAAGAAATACTCTGGGGAGAATAATTGTACATTTTAATCAGAAGAAAGCTTTAATTTAATTTTCCTTTACCAAAGAGATTTTGAATATAGAATAATTAATTTAGAGTAGTTTTTACTGACAAGCCTGAACTGTACCCAAACAGATATGCTTCAATCACTTTTATCACTTAGACATGTCACCAAAAAATGTGGTTTTCAATATGGTATATAATATTACAAATGCTAAAATAAATAAAATATGATTCCTGCCTCACGCCGTTAGGTGATGTCAAAGACATGTCACCAGTTATTTGACAAGATGACAAAGCATGTAATAAAAGTATGTAACAGGACCATATAAGAAGACATTTACACTGGAAGAAACATTTAAATTGTGTTAATATTATGTAGAAGTACTTTCGGTAGAGAAAGAAAAATAGGTGTGAGGGTGAGTGGCCAAGGAATTCTAGACAGAAGAAAACATATTTTGAGATGAATAATTTATTTGGAGATTAACCATTTATTCAATATAATTATAACTTGTTGTGGTGAGATTACAGGAAAATAGAATGAAAGGAGACAACGTACGGCCTTATAGATTTTGTCAAGGGATATATTTCTACTTTATGTTAACAGCTATTGTAAAAAGTATACACGATATTTGTTTTTAAAATATGAAATGCTTAACTAATTAATTAGAATTCTGTGATATACTGTAAACAATTGATTTGACCGTAATGGATCATATTCTCTGTTGGAAATCATGAGTCCTTCTCTTTATTTTTATTTTGCACTTTTTTTGGTGATGCTTTGTTTTGTCTTGCCTTTCTTTCTCTCATCTTACATAATTTGATACCTCTCTTTTGTCCTTGCAAGCCATGTCCAAGTTAACGTTTATAATGAAAGAACACTTTTTCTTGCTAGACAGACATTGCATGAGTCCCTCTTTCAGATATCAACATCTTTGTAAAGGATGCACTTTGTGTCTAGAGTCCAAAAGCTATATCACTTCATGGATCTCGTGCACGGAACTACCACATTCTTGCACTACTTGACAAGTCATCTGATTCTTCTCAGTTATTTTTGGATCAACTATCCTTGGTCATAATATCTATCTTTGTTACTGTAGATTTAGATCTGTGAAACCACAATGACTTTCTTATTTTATATGGAAGACAGAGTGGGAGATGGAAAAGAACCAGCCATGAAATAAATGATTCACTAGTATTTGTTGTCTCAGCAGACTGAAGTTCCCTTAGTTTATTCATACCCTTGGCTTGGCATTTCCCAGGGGAAGGAGTGGCTGCTTCCTCACTGAGGAGAACATTCCCTGGGCTTGGCCTGAGGTCAGTAGTGGTGACAGGACCTGTTCCAGGAACTCACTGTTTGTTTTGTTAGTTTAAAAGTGCATAGCAAATGGAGAACACCAGTTATAAACTATCTACTTTTTCAAAAAAGTGCTAATGATAAAAGAGGAGGAAAGCAGAGGTGGACAGAATAATAACTGACAATTAAGTCAATGTGGTTTTGATAAGGATTACTGTGTTAAAAACACATTCATATCTGATGAAATATGTGTTGGCAAGAAGATTCCATTGTTTTGTGGGGAGATACATGCTTTTTCATCTTTAAATTATGAGTATTAAATATGACTTCTGAAACTGCTGAGCTCTACATTTTGGACAATCTTAGTTCCACAAATAAGGGTTTTTTTTTTTTTCCCAAGGGTTGGGGGAACATGCCTCCAAAACCCAACCTCCCAAAATGTGTGGGTAGCAACTGAGAACATAAATAATCTAACTTCAAAAATAAATTCCTTCTCCCTTAGAACATTATTATTAATAATTGAAACTATGCAGCTCCCCTATGGGTATTATTATAACTTATGTAGAAGGTACGTGTGAAATATAGATGTTTACACTCTACAAGTAAGAAGCAATGATTAAACTGATGGCGTGATGGGACCAACAGGCCTCGCTGTTGTGACCACTTCTGAGAGGCAGTGAAAAATAAACGGTACAAATAAGAAAAAGGAGTTTGTTTGTTTGTTTGCT
This sequence comes from Homo sapiens, assembly GCF_000001405.40. NCBI lineage: Eukaryota > Metazoa > Chordata > Mammalia > Primates > Hominidae > Homo > Homo sapiens. Next base: position 104,951,936 of record NC_000003.12, on the reverse strand, counting down.
TGTTTTCTGACCCAGGAAATGATTACAAAAATTATACTCTGGAAAGACCGATAATTTTAACAACTGACTCCTAGAAGACAAAGCATTTAAGAATCCAATAAGTGGATAGAATTACAGAGATAATATTTTCTTTAGAACCAATTGAGGTTCAACAAAGTAACTGGCACAAGGATACCTTTAACAAGGGGGGTAGCTTTGTTCTTAAGTAGAAATGTTTGTATGTAGCTAGTTTATGGAAATATTCTGCTGGTATTTGAGTTTCTTTCTACTTGTCAGAAATGTTCAAAGATACATATTGAGTACAGGATCTTGTTTCTGTCCTGCTGGGTTTATTCGGTACATACGAACTACTTTCAACACTCCAATGTGGGTGGTGGTTTGGAATGCCTCTTTCACAATCTTTCAGAAATAGAAAGAAAAGGTATTCTAAGCTGTAGTGTCAAAGAGCATATGTTTTATAATGATACTTTAGAGAAAAGAGAACAAGATATACATATGCTGGAAAAAGGAAAGAACATTACTTTGTTTCTTGAGTATGAAACAAAAATCGTATTTTCTAGGTAAAATCTATCACAAAGATAATCTCATCCAACCACTAACCTGATGCTTGAATTTCCTAAAGTATTCTGGGCTATTACTACACCTGTGGTCTAAATTAACCTTTAGGTCTTAAGCTTAGAGCTACTCACAAAGAGTTAAAACATATGACTTTTTTTAAAAAATGTGTTTTCTTTACATTTCAAAAACATTTTATTATAATAAGAAGCTTAGAAAAAAAAAGTAAGTATAGACAAATCACCCATAATTCCACTACTGTAACCAAACAATTTTCATACACATTTACCTTTTATATCTTAAGAATTTCAACAACATTCTTCTTGACCTTATCTTTTAGGCTCTTGTATTGGCATAAAAACACATTGGTATTTTTAACGCAACTCTAATCTTTAACCTTCAAAAATATTTCAGCATTCTTCATGTACAAAAATTAGCATTATAGGGATTTATTTATTTATTTATTTATTTACTGAGATGGAGTCTCGCTCTGGACCCAGGCTGGACTGCAGTGGCAGGATCTCGGCTCACTGTGACCTCTGTCACCTGGGTTCAAGCAATTCTCTTGCCTCAGCCTCCCGAGTAGCTGGGATTACAAGTGTGTACCACCACAGATGTCTATTTTTTATTTTTATTTTTAGTAGAAACAAGGTTTCACCATGTTGGCCAGGCTGGTCTCAATCTCCTGACCTCAGGTGATCTGCCTGTCTTGGCCTCCCAAGCTGCTGGGATTACAGGTGTGAGCCACCACACCCAGCTTAGGTATTGTTTTAAATACAAATTTTTCTCTGGAATTCTAATGGCTGAATTGGATCTTCATTTTCTAAAGTAGATCTATAATTTTAATTTAAAAATTACTGCACTTAACTAAATAAATCAAGTAAATTATTGTGCTCGATGAACCCTTTTTTAAAACTAAGAATGAAAATAAAATTGAAATTTTCTGTATACAGAATAATGACTCTAAACTTAATGAATGATCACTGTGGCATAATTACACCTAATTTGTTCAAAGGGCAAAGTTACTCTATGAAAGCTATAAACATCAAGGCAATTTCCCCTTTTTAATTTATTGAAATTCTAAGTATGTTTCCAAGAATTTTTTTAGCTGTTAAAAATCGTGTGAGGGAATTTACTGTCCTGGATTTCTAAGAAACATTAAAATGCAAAACATTTTAAATTCCGTGTTTAGCAAGAGGAAACTGCACAGAATGTGATATGGTTTGGCTGTGTCCCCACCCAAATCTCATCTTGAATTGTAGTTCCCACAGTCCCCAAGTGTTGTGGGAAGGACCACTTGGAGATAATTGAATCATGGTGGTGGTTACCCCTATGCTGCTGCTCTCATGATAGTGAGTGAGTTCTCCTGAAATCTGATGGTTTTATAAGGGGCTTCCGCCTCTTGCTAGGCACTTCTCCTTTTTGCCATGTGAAGAAGGACGTGTTTGCTTCCCCTTCTGCCATGCTTGTAAGTTTCCTGAGGCCTCCCCAGCCATGCTGAACTGTGATTCAATTAAACATCTTTTCTTTATAAATTATACAGTCTCAAGTATGTCTTCATTAGCAGCGTGAAAAAGAACTAGTACAGAATGAAAAAAGAACATCCCTTGATTTTTTTAATGTTTAGAACACTATATAAAATGTTCGGAAAGCATGGCTGTATTGTGTTCTCTACTCACATGATCTGAAATATAATGCATCATAATTCAACTTTGAAATTATGTTTAATGAGACCAATAGAAAACATCTCAAAACTAAAGTATTTTATCTCTGGTGTTTCTCTTATTCTAAGTTATTCACATAAAAAAAGATTGGTGCTAATTTTATTTGAAATGACTTTATTTACTATCATCTTATTCCTTCTCTTCATTCTCCTCTTCTTCTTCTTCCTCTGCTTCATGAGGTGCTTTAGTTGCTCTCTTGGGATGCCTTGACACTTTCTTTTAAACTTCAACTGCAACACATTCTGAATACTTAGTGATTGTCTGTCTTACTATTTAAAGACTGCTTCTACATATTATTTCAATCGGTCCACATTTGAGTGCATTTCCTCCTTCAAATAATAGATACATCTGGATATGTAGTATTCCTTGGAAGCACAGATTCTGAAACAAGTAGAAATAACCTAAGCTAATTTGAAGCAATGGGATCACTTTCCTTTATCTCTCTTTGAGATGGTTTATCATTTTTCATATTCTGTTGTGTCAAAGTTTTCGTTATATTACAAAAATTAGGTACACCTCTTTGTTTTGATATTCAGTATACTTTATTTCTGAAACCCTCTAACAAATTTTTACAAACTTAAAGGAACTTTTGGATCCCTTTTTGTTTTCCCTTGTACTGTCATCACATCTGGTCTTTATATGGTCTCTATGATATTTTAATAAGTGCCCATGCAGCTTGTACATATTTAGCTTTCAAAAGCATACTCATTAAGTTACATGTCTGTCCCTCCCACTCTCACACACATAAACATGACCTCCCTATTAACATCCAGTTCTTTCAGTGATGTAGGGGAATGGAATACTTGAGAAAAATCAATGCATTTATTTTCAAGGGAAGTGCTATTTGACTTTGTAGTCGGACATTAAAAGAGCAGAGTATATCATTTTTACCATTTATACCATTGTATAACCTTTGCCTGAATTATTTTATAATGGAATCCAGCAGCACATCAAAAGGCATATCAACATTGTTCAAGTAGGCTTTATCCCCGGGAGGCAAGGTTGGTTAAACATACACAAATCAATGTATATAATTCATCACATAAACAGAACTGAAGACAAAAAAACACCTGATTATCTCAATAGATGCAGAAAAGACTTTTGGTAGACTTCAACACCACTTCATGTTAAATACTCTCAATAAACTAGGTATTGAAGGAACATACCTCAAATGAATAAGAGCCATCTATAACAAACCCACAACCAACATCATATAGAATGGGCAAAAGCTGGAAGCATTCCCCTTGAAGACTGGTGAAAGACAAGAATGCCCTCTCTCATCACTCCTATTCAACCTAGCATTGGAAGTCCTGGTCAGAACAGTCAGGCAAGAGAAAGAAGCAACAGGCATCCAAATAGGAAGAGAGAAAGTCAACTATTTGTGTTTGAAGATAACATGATCCTGTATGTAGAAAACCTCAAAGTCTCTGCCCAAAAGTTATTTAAGCTGATAAACAAATTTAGCAAAGTCTCAAGATACAAAATCAACGTACAAAAATCACTAGCATTCCTAGAAACCAACAACAGTCAGTCAGACAGCCAAATCAGGAACACAATCCCCAAGAAAAAAATACCCGGGAATACAGCTAACCAGGGAAGTGAAATATCTCTACAATGAGAAATACAAAACACTGCTCAAAGAAATCAGAGATGACACAAACAAGTTGAAAAATATTCCGTGCTCATGGACAGAAAGAATCAATATTATTAAAATGGCCATATTGTGCAAAGCAATTTATGGATTCAGTGCTATGCCTACCAAACTACCAATGACATTCTTTACAGAACTAGAAAAAAAAAACTATTTTAAAATTCATATGGAACCAAAAAAGAGCCTGAATAGCCAAAGCAATCCTAAACAAAAAGAACAAAGCTGGAGGCATTATGTTACCCAATTTCAAAGGATACTACACGCCTACAATAACCAAAGCCACTGCTACAATAACCAAAGCAGCATGGTACTGTTTTAAAACCAGACACATAGACCAATGGAACAGAATTGAGAGCCCAAAAATAAGGCTGCACACCTACAGCCATCTGATGTTTAGCAAAGCTGACAAAAACAAGCAATGAGGAAAGGACTCATTATTCAAGAAATGATGCTGGCATAACTGGCTAGCCATATGCAGAAGATTGAAACTGGACCCCTTTCTTACACTGTATAAAAAAAAACAACTCAAGATGGATTAAAGACTTAAATGTAAAACCAAAAACTATAAAAACTCTGGAAGACAACCTAGGCAATACCATTCTGACATATGAATGGGCAAAGATTTCATGATGAAGGTGCCAAAAGTAATTGCAAGAAAAGCAAATATTGACAAACTTAATTAAACTAAAGATCTTCTGCACAGCAAAAATCTATCAACAAATAGACAACCTATAAAATGGGAGAACATTTTTGCAAACTATGTATCTGACAAAGGTGTACTATCCAGCATCTATAAAGATCTTCAACAAATTTACAAGGAAAAAAAACTCCATTAAAAAGTGGGCAAAGGGCCAGGCGTGGTGGCTCATGCCTGTAATCCCAGCACTTTGGGAGGCCGAGGCAAGTGGATCACCTGGGTCAGGAGTTCAAGACCAGCCTGGGTAACATGGTGAAATCCCATCTTTACTAAAAATACAAAAATTATCTAGGCACAGCAGCATGTACCTGTAATCCCAGCTACTCGGGAGACTGAGGCAGGAGAATCGCTTGAGCCCAGAAGGTGAAAGTTGCAGTGAGCCGAGATTGCACCATTGCACTCCAGCCTGGGTGACAGAGCGAGACTCTGTCTCAAAAAAAAAAAAAAAAAAAAAATGTGGGGAAAAGACATGAATAGATAGTTTTCAAAAGAAGACGAACATGTTGCCAACAATCATATGAAAAAATGCTCAACATTACTGATCATTAGAGAAATGCAAATCAAAACCACAATAAGATATCATCTCACACCAGTCAGAATGGCTATTATTAAAAAATCAAAGAATAACAGATGCTGGTGAGGTTGCAGAGAGAAGGTAACACTTACACACTGCAGGAGGTTGTGAACACTCATTTCAACCATTGTGGAAGGCAGTGTGGTGATTCCTCAAAGAACTAAAACTGGAATTACCATTCAACCAGCAAACCCCTTACTGTGTATATGCTCAAAGGAATATAAATCATTCTATCATAAAGACACATACATGCATATGTTTACCACAGCACTATTCACAATAGCAATGACATGGAATCAGCCTAAATATCTATCAATGCTAGACTAGATAAAGAAAATGTGGTACATATACAGCATAGAATACTATGCAGCCATAAAAAAGAATGAGATCATGTCTTTTAAGGGAACGTGGATGGAACTGGAGGCCATTATCTTTATCAAACTAAAGCAGGAACAGAAAACCAAATGCCTCATGTTCTCACTTACAGGTGGGGACTAAATGATGAGAACACATGAATGCATAGAGGGGAACAACACACACTGGCACCTACTGGAAGGTGGAGGGTGGGAAGAGGGAGAGGATCAGGAAAAATAACTAACGGTTACAGCTTAATATCTGGGTGACGAAACAATCCGCCTAAAAAACCCCAGTGACAGGAGCCTTCCTATATAACAAACCTGCACATGTACCCTTGAACTTACAAAAAAAGTCCACATTCATGCATTCAATAAATAATAGAGCTGGAATTTGGAAGACAACAACAACAGTAACAACTGGTGATCAATTTGGAACTCTGATTAATTAAACACCACTCTGTCACTTTAGACTCTTTTCCATATATGTGATGGTCTCCCTCCCTCCCTCCCTTCCTTCCCTCCTTTATTATGTGTACCAGGCACAGTTCTATGCACTTTGGGGTACATCCCTACAGCCAGATCAATCCCTATCTCATACTGATCACACTATTTACAGTCTCCAAATTTGTTTTGTGGTCCGCAATTTCAATGAGGTCCATTGCTGCCTTTATGTATGTTCTAAGATGTTAACAAGAACTGAAAATTTCTCCCTATAAACACATGACAGAACATGTGGACATTTAGGTTGCATGATTGTGGGTACTCTGCTTTTCTTTTACAGTGTCATGCAGACATGTGCTTATATGTTTATATACCAAGCAGACATCTGCTTATACGTCTATATGCCAAGACACAATTATATGTATTCATCTGCATCTAATCGGAAGAGAAACCATATGGTTTAGATTTAAACAGAAGTACTAATGGTTAAGCTATGATAAAAGAGTAACTACAGGCCGGGCGCGGTGGTTCACGCCTGTAATCGCAGCACTTTGTGAGGCTGAGGCAGGCGGATCATGAGGTCAGCAGATCGAGACCATCCTGGCTAACACGGTAAAACCCTGTCTCTACTAAAAATACAATAAATTAGCTGGGAGTGGTGGCGGGTGCCTGTGGTCCCAGCTACTCGGGAGGCTGAGGCAGGAGAATGGCGGGTGCCTGTGGTCCCAGCTACTCGGGAGGCTGAGGCAGGAGAATGGCGTGAACCCGGGAGGTGGAGCTTGCAGTGAGCCGAGATCGCACCACTGCACTCCAGCCTGGGCGACAGAACAAGATTCCATCGCAAAAAAAAAAAAAAAAAAAAAAAAAAAAAGTAACTACAGGATGGAAAAAAGCTGTATGTTATACCCTAGGACTGTATGAGAGTACTCAAGGAAGACAGAAAGAGAAGGAAGCTCTTTCTCAAGGCTGGGTTCTAGACACAGTTGGAAAAATTGCAGTTTAACCCATTGAGTAGTAGAGTTTGCCAGTTTTCCCAGGCTGAAGCTTGTCTGTCGTACCTGGGCAAGCAGAACAAAACCTTTGGAAGACAGAGCAAGCCAATCAGCAACTGATGGTGTGGGAGTAAAAGAAGGTAGGGGTTCCCAGGCGAAGGTGAGTGGTAGTGCCTGCAGAGGCAGTGGAGGCCCAGTGATAAAACCTCAGCCCTGTGATGGCCAGTTACTAGGCGTCTTGTAAAATAATCAAAGTACTGATAGGGGCAGGACAGCTTTAGCCAGAGGTTTTTGTGTCTAGAGGGCCTTGGAAGGTCATTGCTCGGTCAGCCTCTGTAAGGTTGCTGAGAGACTATTTGTTCTGGGGACTGACTGTGTCAGGGCTCAATAGGAAGTTCTCACCCCCCACACCATTGACCCACTCTGCAGGAGCTGGGAAGAGGAGGAGGGTCCCTTCTTCCTGCAATGTGACCCTAGCCCCCTCTACTAAGAAAGCTTAATGTTATGATCAAAATTGAAAAGAGATGCTTAAAGGAATTCTGTCTATGATGACAAAGCATGTATTGAAGGGTGGATTTGGAACTGAGAGGAAATAAGTTGATAACAGGCACAGTAAAATTCTACTGTATATTAAAAATTGTACTTTTTAAAATTCAACATTACAGTAACTTTACAAAATACAGTCTCATAAAGCTCACCCTAAGTCTATTGCCTATTCTGAAGAGTTGTTTTACCTAAGTATGGTTTTGTAGGATCATGAAGTAGTCATTTGGGAAATATTGGTCAATAGGGTCATGTAGATCTTACAAACGTTGACTCACTTCATGATGCAATATTAACAATCTTTGTTAATGTCACTATTGATCTTATCTGGAAGTCTTTAAGTTTTGAGGAGCTGTCAAACTCAGGGTGGTCAACACAAATTCTATAAAATGCTCATATTATCTTAAAAGTTAGATTTTCATCATTAGCTTCAAATACTTGCTATCATGGTAGAATCACTTCCTTCCTTTTTGTGACCATGTCTATTAAATTGCTATTTTGTTTCTAAGTCCTTCTTTCAGGTAAAAATTCTGCTCCCTGAGAAAAAGCAACTAGTTTAACTTGTGACTCAAAACAAAAATGTTATACTTAGGAATGCAGCAGACAGGCTTTAAAATGTCTACTAACCATTTTGTCACACAGAATATTAAAACAATATATTACTCAAGGGTTTGGATTTAATATAAGTAATAATTTCCCCAATTCATCAAGGTCATTATTAATGATATTAGCTTTTTGTTTTTCATGAGTGTGTGGCAATGAAAAACATAATGACTACTGGTACAGTTTATTGCCACTTTCTTGTTCATGACAAGCTGTCAACTCTTTTACCCATCATTGTTTTGCACCATCAGTAAACATAGTATTATTGTTGAAAAAATTATGAAATCACCAACTTCCTAATGGAGTTGGAAGACCTCAAAAGCCACTAGGAAAACCTTTATTGAGACTACATACCTCCAATTCAAAACCAAATACTACTTCCAAATAGATAATCTAAAAATGCTGCTGGGTTTGATCATAGTTCCCTCCTTCCCCAAACTTAAATTCCTTTCAAGTCTCTCCATAGACTTGCTTTTCTAAGATTTTGATAATACATTTATGTTTTTAATCAAATATTTTAAAGATAGTCTTATTTTCATAAAAATTTTGTTGGTAAGAAAAATATGCTTTTCGTGCCTGTTTTACATGATCTCTTATTTAAAATAATGTTTTAAGACTGTTCTAATGTAGAAGAAAAAATAAGCAAACACAAACTTCATTACTAGATATTCTGATGTAGTAATGAAAGAAATCAGATACATCAACATACTTTTCTATATAAACATTTACTTCACATCTTTCTTTAAGTCACTAAGAGTAGCTTTCAACCAGAACTCTACAAAAAATAAATTCTCTCTCTCTTTTTTTTTTTTTTTTTTTTTTTGACAGAGTCTCACGCTGTCGCCCAGGCTGGAGAGTGCAGCGGTGCTATCTCAGCTCACTGCAAACTCCACGTCCCAGCTTCAAGTGATTCTCCTGCCTCAGCCTCCCGAGTAGCTGGGATTACAGGTGTGCAACACCACACCCAGCTATTTTTTGTATTTTCAGACAGGGTTTCATCATGTTGGCCAGGCTGGTCTTGAACTCCTGACCTCAAGTGATCCACCCACCTCGGTCTCTCAAAGTGCTGGGATTACAGGCGTGAGCCACTGCACCCAGCCTAAATTCTTATGTTATACTTAAACTGTAATTATAAATGCTTAAATGTTATAATTAAAATATGTCCAATATTGAATATTTAACTTGTTAATATTTTCACAGATTTAATTATTTGCAACAGTTTTATGAGTTATAAAATTTTTAATAGACTCCTTGAGATTTTCTGCTTGCTCTGAGATATGGGGTAATTCACTTAGCATAGATATATCTCTTATATTCATAAAAGAGAGAGTAACTCGTAACTCTCCTTCAATGAGTTTCTGAACATGACTCTATTATTTAAAGGCAATGATGGATTTTATATGTAAGTCAAGCATAACAATTTCAAAATTGTTGATCAATCAGAAAATACTGCTGTAAACTCTCTTATAGAGTTTTCTGTATACTTAAGTTCTGCAATAAAATCGTGCAAATATTATCAATCTTGAATTTTTAAATAGAAGGATTAGTAGCTCTTCAGTATGACTACCTCTACTATATCATTGCTAATACATAATTTTTTTCTTGCTAATTGTCCTTTGCTCTCCTCTTCTTATCTTCATCACAAATTTCTCCAATACTTTTTATATTTGTTACAGTGAATTTATGATGCCAGCACTTTAGTTTTTAACATGTGGACTCTGAAGAGTGGGTTTGAGCACATATCATCATCTCCTTTCATTTCCTGCTGCCCTTTCCATTGTGAGGTCTAAGGACAGAGCTCACAGCTGGCCTGCATCCACCTGCCTCCTCCACATGTCTTTTGAGAGTCTGCAACTTGAGAGCTTTTGAACATTTGGTCTCAGTGTCTCTAAGTAACCAGAATTGTTGGAGATAAGAAGCAAGAAGCCTAAAACCTCAGAAATATTGAATCCGATCTATTTATATTCTACTTTTACCAAAAAGGATTTGAAGCCAGCCCTCAAAATGGCTTCTCTCTGAAGAACTAATTCCCAGAACTTCAGGAACAAATATCTCTGTGGTCAGAGAAGAACTACTGAGAGCTCCTGTTCAGGCTACTGTTCTTGTCAATTTTGACAAGAGACACAATTTAGGGACAAATCTATAAAAGTTGAATTACATAGTTCCATTTTGGAGACTGCAAAAGAGTGGCTGGACTATAAGTATTCTCCGCAGTACAAAGAAAGGAACGTATTTTCCGTAATAATATATTACCTGTGTTTTAGAGTGATCATTCGGGAAATGGTAAGGAGGAAGTATTGAAGAGAAGGGAGACTAGGAACAGGATAACAAGTTAATAAGCTTTTGCAAAAAGCTGGAGTTGAATGCCTTAGTGGAGGATTCCTTTAAAATTCAATTAAAATGGAATGAAAAGAAATAACTAAAACTGGCTATTGTGTTACCAATCAAGTTAACAGTGTGTGTTCTGACTTTCTAAAATGTAGAATTGTAGTAGGTTTCTTATGCGTTAATATTGGGAAAAACACACTAAATTTAAATACTGAATGTCCTATGTGACCCGAAATGTCATCTTTGATTTTCCCCTCACCTGGGCAAGTTATTTATTTTGGGGCACGTTATTTTATCTCTTATAGAATCTGTTCACTTTTCCATACATTTCAAAAGTTAGAATGTAAGAATACCAATTTTTTAAAAAATTTAAACATAAATTTGAATGTCTTAGAATTTAGTTTCCTTCCAATTATAAGCCATTTCCTTTATCCATGGTTTACAACATAGTGATGTTCAATTTCGTTTTCTTTTTTCTTTCTTTCTTTTCTTTTTTTCTTTTTTTTTTTTTTGAGACAGAGTCTTGCTCTGTCACCAGGCTGGAGTGCAGTGGCCGGCTCACTGCAACCTCCAACTCCCTGATTCAAGTGATCCTCCTGTCTCAGCCTCCTGAGTGGCTGGGATTACAAGTGCGTGCCACCATGCCCAGCTAATTTTTTTTTTCGGTATTTTTAGTAGAGATGCGGTTTCACCATGTTGGTCAGGATGGTCTCTATCTCCTGACCTCATGATCCACCCAGTTTGGCCTCCCAAAGTGCTGAAATTACAGGTGTGAGCCACTTCACCCGGCCTAATCTGATACATACTTCTATCACTTTATTGCCACACTTGATTGCAAATAGTTGTTTTAATATCCGTTTCTTGAATGCAAAGCCTGTGCCATATTTGGCTTAACATTTTTGCAGTTTGCATTATGGGGGGCATTTAGTGGAGACACAATAAATATTTGCTTAAGTGATTGGATTCTGAAATTAATCTTTTTCTTACTTTTAACAATTAAAACCCTATAATTCTTAATTTACTTCTAAGAAATAAGTGTCTAGGATGCAAATTCCTCAGATTATCATTTTATTAATCTCCTTATCTTTAAAACTTGATTAAAACAGATACTAAAATATCCATAAGTTTCTAAAGTTGCAATTAGACAACTTTTACATTGATCCAACTGTGAGCTATAGAATTGATTCTCTGGGAAACAAACTTTAAAGTGGGAATCTGTGTAGAGAGTATTTATTAGAAAGTGCTCTTGGAAACAGTTTTTTAGGGGAATGAGAAAAGAAGTAGGATTGTGTAGAGACAAAAGCTGAACTGTGATGTAATTTCAAAAAAGGCCCACATCATGGGGAGTTCTCGAGCTTGAAGGAATATTCAGAGACATCTCATTGAGATAAGATGCTCAAGCATCTACGTGTTTCAGTAATTCGATGTGAAATGCTCCAGAGAAGGAGTGCAATTCTGATTGAGTCAACAATCTTACTTTAAGGGCAATGACTGGAGAGGTCTCAGTTGTGACCTTTCAGCAGTGAACACTCCCAGCAAATGGACGAATGAATATTTCAGTCATGGAAGCCAGATCTGGGTAGTACACCACAGCATCCAACACTCTGGTATTTAGAGTTCTTCTAATCAATGAATGCTTTGGCAAGACATATTTACCTGGGTCTCAGCCTTTGATTAGGTTGATTATTTGGCAGGGAAGATGAGCTGGTATCTAAAGTTCTTTCCATTCCTCTTACAGTGCAATTCTATGTTTTTCTTAATGTACCCTTCACTTCTCTGCTTCAGTCACTGGCTTTTATCTTATTTTTATGAGCAGCAGCTTCACAAAAATAATTGAAAAAGGTAATCATTTAGAACCACACTGAAACAGATAGCTCACAAAGAAGTACAATTAAGCTATTGCATTTATTTACAGGGCTGCTGTTAAGATAATTAAACAGAGAAAGTAATATTGTGTTTAGAGAGAAACAATGGGAGGAAGAGGTTGGACTTGTAGAACAAATTAAGCCACAAGAATATGCTTTACTGAGAAATATGACTCTTATCAACATATGTTTTCACTTAACTGAACTGATTAAAGCAATTTTCAGTGATAGTGACTCCTTCTGGCTGTTTATATCCATCACTATCTAGTTCTCACTGTAACATTTTTAATAAACAGACTGTTCGAGGATGACTTTAGAAAAATATCATATGGAAGCCAAAGAAAACAACAAACTGAGGTGAAAGAAATGAATCTAAAGTGACTTAAATTATGAGATTTGGAGTATAATTTATTGAAAATGGTACATTTGGGACCTCAGGAGCTTTTCACATGAAGAGTCAAATTGGTAGCCAGAGAGATGTAAAAGGGAAAACTTCCCGTATGAATACTCCCCTCTTAAAAGAAAAAAAAGAAAGAAAAAAATAATAAGATTAAAGGCTTAAAGGCAAGTTTTAGGATATTATCATAGGAGCTGATTTTGAAAAATGATTTGCTATATTTATTTTGCTGTAGGCATTATTTGTTCCATTTAACTATTTCTTTTCACTAAGAATACTACTGTGGCAGCCCTAGACTGTAAGTGCTGAACTATGACTGGAGATTATAACACATCTCAGTGGAATGAAGATATATAGTACCCTGAGAGTTGTTGTTTCAAATGCAAGTCAGTTTTTCTTTCCTCAAAGTTATAACCTTCCACCACTGCCAAATTGTGTATGTGTATTTATATGTATATATGTTAAAATAAATAGTAATTTCTCCATATATATATATATATATATATATATATATATATATATATACACACACACATGTTTACCTCACTTAACATTGCCGCATGGCCTTGTCTTAGCAGAGTGTCATGTACAAAATAAAACATAAATTAAACATTAAAAATAAAAAGGCTCAAAAGGAAAAGTATATCTATAAAAGAGGAAAAATAGGGAAATGCCTGCCTTGCATGACACCTAGCAAAAATGTTCTAATTTCTATCCCCTCATATGACTTGCTAAACTTCAGTAAAGCTACTTCACTAAAGCTACTCCTCAAGTGTCTGTCAATTCCCGTTACCCAGTGTTTTCCCCCTTTCAGCTTCTGCTGGTTCTCCTGTCTCTTCCCACTTCTCCCTCTTAATTGTGGGTTCTATTACATTTTTGTATGTACTTGCCATGCAATTTAACTTAGCCCCTCTCCTTTTGAAATTGTTTTTATCAAGCAGTGCAGTACAGGGCAAAACATCTACTAATGAGGTCCACCTTCCACGGCAAATGGAGCACATAGGACAGCGTTTCAAAGATCCAAATACCATTATTTTAGTATCTATTATATATAATTTTGTCTATCATTCTAGAGTTTTACATTAGTTATATATCCCAGTGAATTAGTCTGTCTTCATGCTGTTGATAAAGACATACCCAAGACTGGGCGATCTACAAAAGAAGGAGGTTTAATTGGACTTACAGCTCCACATGGCCAGGGAAGCCTCACAATCATGGCGGAAGGCAAAGAGGAGGAACCCACTTCCTACGTGGATGGCAGCAGGCAAAGAGAGAGCCTGTGCAGGGAAACTCCTCTCATAGAACTATCAGATCTCATGAGACTCACTCACCGTCATGAGAACAGCATGGGAAAGACCCGCCCCATGATTCAACTACCTCCCACCGCGTCCCTCCCACAACACGTGGGAATTCAAGATGAGATTTGGCTGGGGACACAACCAAACCATATCACCCAGTATAAAGATCAATAAAGGGCGATTACACTTTCAGAATACCCACTAAGGAGGAAGGATTATGAATACAGATAATTGCTTGGGTACAATAGGATAATGCAATATTACATTTCCAGAAGGCAACTATATTAAAGAGCATTTCTAGGAACAAAACTGGATTGTACAGTTAGTGTTGAAGAGATAGCCAGAGCGACTTTCCCACTGCAAAGAGAGTCTTCACAATTTATTCTACTACCTCTAGTATTGACTTCCCTGAGCTGACTAGTTTAGATGCATGTATTTAAAATTCACAAAGCACTCACATATGTTTTACATATTCTGTTGATACTATTGGAATAAGTGTCTGCTATTTCTTGTCTTAAGCTGACTCCATCTTTCCCTCTGTTTAAAGATATCTTGTTTGTCTCTTTCTGTAATCAAGTTCATTTGATTTGTTTCTATCTCAGTGGCCCTTTAACAAGTATCTTCTCTCATAGATGGGGACAATGAGGCTCACAAAAGTTAAGGGGCTGGCCAGGCATGGTAGCTCACGCCTGTATCCCAGCACTTTGGAAGTCCAAGCCAGGCGCATCACGAGGTCAGGAGTTCAAGACCAGCCTGGCCAAGATGGTAAAACCCCATCTCTACTAAAAATACAAAAATTAGTCGGGTATGGTAGTGGGCGCCTGTAATCCCAGCTACTTGGGAGGCTGAGGCAGAGAATTCTTGAACTCAGGAGGCAGAGGTTGCAGTGAGCCGAGATCACACCACTGCACTCCAGCCTTGGTGACAGAGTGAGACTGCCTCAAAAACAAAACAAAACAAACAAAAGAAACCATTAAGGGCACATTGATGAATACACACTACACTAGAATGGTGGAGCAAATTTACTAAATCCCTCCTTTAATCTCTAAATCTAGTACTGTGTTTGTTATACCTCAGAGTCCCACTGAAAGGAACATAATTGGGACATAAGCTATAATTATAGGCTCTTGCTAAAAGGTCCAAGTAAAGAAGTATGAGTGGACAGAATTGGTATGGGAGATAGGGCTGTTGAACAAAAAGCTGGAGCAAAGCTATAAACCACACGTATTGCATTTCTCACTGGAGCAGGGTTGATGTCCAATGTGTGTACTACCTTTATCATTAAAAAGAAGGTTTATATAACATCTTTATTTCTAATACCTCAAATATTGTGATATAAGGACAGATGAGGTGGAGGAAAAGAGCTCACTTATAACCCTATTGCTGGCCTACTTATGTGTATGAAACAGGTATGTTTTCATATTTTCTGCTTTGAGGACTGTGTATAGTTCCATGGGAATTTTGGAATCATGTACATATTTTATTATGCCATTGAATAAAAAAATCTCGAGATCCTTTTATACCCAACTCCTTTTAAAGTTTACGTCTGCTTGTAGCTGGGAAATGTATTTCAAGGAATATCTATCTCTATTCCGTCTCATTCCTTCAGTTTTCTGACACTAATTGTTTCTTCCTTCCATGGTGCTTTTCAGTGAGATAGGATCAAAAGCCTTTTTCTTTATTGCTCTTGGCATCTGGAAGAAACTTCTTACATTTCTCTGCCTCATTGATGCTATCTTTTCTTCTTTTCATATAGTTCTTGAAAGTCTCTTCTCTTGCCTAAAGCTCTCTTAATTTTCTTCTCCCTTTGTGGTTATTTAACTGTGTAATTGTATTATTTAACTTTATAAATCATTTTGGGATTCTGTGTATGTAAGACATAGTGTGAATAATGCACTCCTTGAATTTGGTCTGTGAGTTCAATAAAAAGCTTTTGCTTAAACAGCATTTGCAGTAAGTTGGATTCTTTCTTGATATTTACTTTTTGCAGTTTAAATCAATATGATACAGAAAAGAAAAAATTGCTTCCACATGATCAGTTTAAGTTTCTCTATTTTACATATGTAACTGATTCTGCATAAAACATGTTACCATGCCCCACCCTATTTTAGTGAGTTCTCCTAGACACTAAGAGATACATTTTATGTTATTTGGAAACCAGGGCTGCTTTTGTATTATGTAGTCAAAATAACATTTTATTTGCTAAGATAGAAAAACCTGGTGAGAATTATAAGGTCTCACAATTACTAGGCCATAAGTAATCTACACTAACAATAACTCTTTTTGTTTATTTTGGTTTTCCTTTCATAGTAATCTTCTGTTGTTGATACTACTAGTTGCCTACCCAATATCTGCTTTTTTCTTGTTTTCTAACTAACATAATCTCAATTTGGTTGAGGGAACAAGGTGACTAGCTGCTCCCTATGTTCTCTGGAATCAGATGTGCTGTAGGAACTGGCTCTGGCCAATAAGACGGAATCAGAAGTTTTGTGGGAGAGATGTTCAGTAGAACATTTTAAAGCAGACAAGTCATTTGACTTCTGCATGTTGCAATTTGCTCTTTGATTTTTCCCATTCTTGATCTTTCCCATTCTTCCTGTGGAGAAAGAAAGCTGTTGTCTATACATTCAGCAATTATGCTGTGAGCCTGAGGAAAACAGTCACACAGTAAGAATGGCAGATCTGAGATAGATAAAAAAGTCTGTGTCACTAGTGACATTATGGATCTACCATACCAACTCTGGATAGCTATCTGAAAATTTATTGATATGTGAGAACAAAACATTTTTAAAGCTAACATAATTAGGTTTCAGTTACATATATCTGCATAAAAAGTTTAACTATTGTGTCCTCAAATTTGGAGAGATTAAGAGCTTCATTTTAATTGGGCCATCTGGGAGACGGATGATATCATCTTACCTGTTGAGGGTGCACTGACCCCTCCTCTTTGCATCTTCACAACCTATAGAGTTGAATGATCTTACTATGCTTCAGTGGCACTGTTGCTTACTTATGTCATATCTTTTATTACACAGATATATAGTTTCTAGTTTGACTTTCATCACTTCTTAGATCAGGTTGCCTAGGAAACAAACACTGAGATGGAGATTTGCTTGGAGGAAGTTTCTTGGAGTGTGCCCTCCAGATCAACACTTGTGGGGAACTAAAGGAAGAGAGAATGGGAAGAGGGAAGATACAATTTATGACATAGTCACACAAAGGCCTCAGATGATCTCAAGAGAGTCCTGCTGCTGTGATAGTGCTTCACATGGGATGCCCTTGAGGCAACTACACTGAGTTATTGTATCCATCCCTACCCCTAACAGAACCAGTCTTTGGATTTGGACTTCTCCTGGACAGGGACCACAGATTTTTGCAAAGGAGGTTTTTTTGGCTGAGGCAATTCTCAAAGTGACTCTCAGGTAACAGCCATCAGATACCAACCCTTTAGAAGGTGGGGTAATGAGTGCCACAGTCCTAAAGAAGGAGTGTACACTGCGGTTGTGGAGATGTTCTGCCCAAACTCCTTTTTAAGAAGGTGCTTGCAGTCCCACTACTGGTAATCTAGTCAGTAGACAGCTATTATCTATCAGAATTTTCAGTGATTGTATCAGCTGAAATGAGCTGTCTTGGTCAAGTTTGCAATGTCTAGGGGGGCGATCTAGTGGCTGATTGAAGTAGAGTATAATGGCATATCCATTTTGGCCCAGTGCCTGAGAACTCTAATGGAAATCATCAGCTCCAGAGCTCACCATGGAGCTGACTCACACTGTCCAGCCCTGCATCCCAGCGGCTTGACTTCTTTGCCCAATCCTACTTGCTCTTTTCCCCTTCCACAAGTATTGATCCTAAGGGTACGCTCTAATCAATGTACTGCCTGCCAATCTCAGTCCTAGAGTATGCTCTCTGAAGAGCAAAGCCTTCAAACTCAACTGGTCTTCAGGCTGATAATCTTTTTTTCATTTTTTTAAACGGAGTCTCGCTCTGTCAGCCAGGCTGGAGTGCAGTGGCGTGATCGTGGCTCACTGCAACCTCCGCTTCCCAGGTTCAAGCGATTCTCCTGCCTCAGCCTCCCTAGTAGCTGGGATCACAGGCAGGCACCACCACATCTGACTAATTTTTATATTTTTAGTAGACACAGGATTTCACCATGTTGGCCAGGCTTGTCTCAAACTCCTGACCTCAGGTGATCCTCCCACTTCTGCTTCCCAAAGTGTTGGGATTACAGATGTGAGCCACCATGCCCAGCCTCATTTTTATACATCTTGTTCCAACTCCATGTTCAGTAGTATTTTACTCATAGCTTGAAATTGGCTGTAATAAGAGTATTTACATTAGTGCATCCACCACCTTGTGCTGGTTGGATCCATTTGCTTCATATAAGTTCTGGGAACAACTTCTCTAGAATTCTGGTTGATTTATTATAAAAACAAAAAATACAACTTAGTGGGAGGAATTGCAGTCCCATTGGGGCAACTGGTTTAGAGGTTGCAAATGATTCTTATCTTCTTCCATCTCTACAACCCATTCTAGGTTGATTAATTCTGCTCGTCTGGTAGCTGATCCAGACCCATGACGTGTTGACAAACTAAATTTCCATAAATAAGTAAATAGAAATATCCTGATTACTAGCACTTGCCAATTCCTATAATGTAAATACTTTCATCGTCACTAATTTCAAGCTACCAGTGTGATATTACTGAACAGGAGTTTGGAAGAGATTCACAGAAATGGTTCTCAGCTTGAAAGCCTGTCTGACTTGGCTATAGTATACATACCACTGATCCAGAGCCTTATGCCTGGATGATCTGAATACTTGATAACCATGCTTTTTTTTCTGGGGTCAGGAGTATGCAGCATACCCTTTTCATTCCTCTGCTTATCTACAAAATTAGGAAATGAAATACAAAAACACATCTGACTGGGCCAGAAAGGTGTGAACATTTTCTTTCTGCCCCCTTTGTTTAACAGCAATTACACAGATCTTTATTACACAGACCTACTAATTACCATTGATGGACGGTGACACCATCCTTTTCTTGACTGCTGGTCTTATGACCTAAGGAGCCCAAACAGCTGTAAATGAAAGTTTGATAAAACTCTTGCCTTATTACCTGTCAGAAGTGTTTTTGCTAATACATTTGCCAACCCGGGTCTCTTGACTGGCAGAACCCAGAGTTGTGCAGACAGGAAGCACATCTACCCTATACAATCACTATTCATAAGCACAGCCATTTCTACAAACACCTCTTCTTTCCTGAAACCATGTATTCTCCCTGTTGGAAGCAGCACTGCACTACATAATGGTTACTTATTTGATTTAGGGGGTCTGTTACTCCCTGAATGATAGTGTTCAATTCTTACAGGGTGTCATCCTTAAGCTAGTGCCTCATTGCTCTTTTAAAGGGCCATTTTATTTTTCTGGTAGATTCTGAGTGGTGAAGTATGTGATAGAAGCAGTGGATCCCATATGGTAGGTCCTCTGATGCACTTTCATTGCTCTACAAGGGAGGTTCTGATCTGATGCTGTGTCATGTAAGATTCCGTGTCTGTAGATCCAAACACTCAGAAACACTTATACAGTGACGTTGGTTAAGACTTTGTCAGAAGGAAAAGCTGCATATCTAGAATATAGAAACAATTCCAATCAAGATGAACTGCTGTCCCTTCCAGGATGGAAAGACTCCAATATAATCAACTTGACATCAATTAGTTGTTTGGTATTCTTTAGTATGAGTGCCATATCAGATGCTTATTGTTGGTTTCTGTTGCTGACTGGCCAGACAACTGATAGTAGCAATAACTAGATTGGCACTGTTGTGTGGGAGCCCATGCTCTTGGGCCCACATATAATCTTCAATACTGCCAATTTGGCTTTATCATCTATCCACACATATGGTTGACTCTGGATTAGATCATGACTTAAACTCATGATGTCACTGGGCAGAATAATTTTGTCTATTTGGTAATTTATTGCCTCTAGCAGGGGTGGTTATTCTTGTATCACACAAAACAAACTTTAAAGCAACAGTAGTTAAAAGAGACAAAGAAGGACATTACATAATGGCAAAAGGCCTTGTCCAACAGCAAAATATCACTATCCTAAACATATATGCACCTGACACTGGAGCTCCCAAATTTATAAAAAAATTACTAATTGACCTAAGAAATGAAGTAGACAGCAATACAGTAATAGTGGGGGACTTTAATACTCCACTGACAGCATGAGACAGGTCATTGAGATAGAAAGTCAACAAAGAAATGATGGATTTAAACTATATCTCAGAACAAATGGACTTAACAGTTATATACAGAACATTTCATCAAATAACCATAGAATACACATTCGATTCACATAGCACATGGAACTTTCTCCAAGATAGACCATATGATAGGCCATAAAATGACCCTCAATAAATTTAAGAAAATTGAAATTATATCAAGCACTCTCTCAGACCACGGTGGAATAAAACTGGAAATCAACTTCAAAAGGAACCTTCAAAACCATGCAAATACATGGAAATTAAATAACCTGCTTCTAAATGAGCATTGGGTCAAAAATGAAATCAAGATGGAAATTTAAAAGTTCTCCGAACTGAATGACAGTAAAGACACAACCTATCAAAGCCTCTGGGATACAGCAAAGGTGGTGATAAGAGGAAAGTTCACAGCCCTAAGCACCTACATCAAAAAAGACTGAAAGAACACAAACTGACATTCTAAAGTCACACTTCCAGGAACTAAAGAAACAAGAACAAACCAAACCCAAACCCTGCAGAAGAAAGGAAATTACCAAGATCAGAGCAGAACTAAATAAAATTGAAACAAACAAACAAACAAACAAAAAATAGAAAAGATAAATGAAACAAAAAGCGGGTTCTTTGAAAATATAAATATTACTGACAGACCATTAGCCACAACAAGAAAAGAAGAGAGAAAATCCGAATAACCTCATTAAGAAATGAAACAGGAGATACTACACTGACACCACCGAAATACAAAAGATCATTCAAGGTTACTATGAACACATTTATGCACATAAACTAGAAAACCTAGAAGAGATGGCTAAACTCCTGGAAAAAATATGACCTTCCTAGCTTAAATCAGTAAAAATTAGATACCCTGAACAGACCAGTAACAAGCAACAAGATTGAAATGGTAATTTAAAAATACCAACAAAAAAAAGTCAAGGACCAGATGGATTCACAGCAGAATTCTACCAGACATTCAAAGCAAAATTGACACCAATTCTTTTGACACTATTCCACAAGATAGATAAAGAAGAAACTTACTTAATTAATTCTATGAAGCAAGTATTATCCTAATACTAAAACCAGGAAAAGATATAACCAAAAAAGAAAAATACAGACAGATAAACTTGATGAGTACTGATGCTAAAATCATTAGCAAAATACTACATAACTGAATACAAAAACATTTCAAAAAGATAATCCACCATGATCAAGTGGGTTTCATACCAGGCATGCAGGGATGGTTTAACATACACAAGTCAATATATGTGATACACCACCTAAACAGAATTAAAAACAAAAATTATATGATCATCTCAAAAAATACAGAAAGAGCATTTGACAAAATCCAGCATCCATTTTTTATTAAATCTCTCAGCAAAATCAGCATACAAGGGACAAACCTCAATGTAATAAAAGCCATCTATGACAAAACCACAACCAACATAATACTGAATGAAGAAAAGTTGAAAACACTTCCTATAAGAACTGGAACAAGATAAGGATGCCCATTCTCACCACTCCTCTTCAACATAGTACTGGAGGTCCTAGCCAGAGCAATCAGACAAGAGAAAGAAATAAAGGGCATCCAAATCGGTAAAGAGGAAGTCAAACTGGGCCTGGCATGGTGGCTCATGCCTGTAATCCCAGCACTTTGGGAGGCCGAGATGGGAGGATCACGAGGTTAGGAGATGGAGATCATCCTGGCTAACATGGTGAAACCCCATTTCTACTAAAAATACAAAAAGAAATTAGCTGGGCTTGGTGGTGGGCGCCTGTAGTTCCAGCTTGGTGGGGATGGGTGGGGGGCGGGGCTGAGGCAGGAGAATGGTGTGAACCCGGGAGGCGGAGCTTACAGTGAGCTGAGATGGTGCCACTGCACTCCAGACTGGGTGACAGAGCAAGACTCTGTCTCAAAAAAAAAAAAAAAGAGGAAGTCAAACTGTCACTGTTTGCTGACAATATGATCGTTTACCTTGAAAACCCTAAAGACTCCTCCAGAAAACTCCTAGAACTGATAAAATACTTCAGCAAGGTTTCAGGATACAAGATTAAAGTATGCAAACCAGTAGATCTTCTATACACCAAAAATGACCAAGCGAAGAATCAAATCAAGAACGCAACTCCTTTTACAATAGCTGCAAAAAAAGTAAAATATTTATGAATAGACCTCACCAAGGAGCCAAAAGACCTCTACAAGGAAAACAACAAAACACTGCTGAAAGAAATCATAGCTAACATAAACAAATGGAAATACATTCCATGCACATAGAGGGGTAGAATTAATATTGTAAAAATGACTATACTGCCAAAGGCAATCTACAAATTCAAAGCAATCCCCATCAAAATGCCACCATCATTCTTCACAGAATTAGAAAAAACAATTCTAAAATTCATACGGACCCAAAAAAAGAGTCTGCATAGCCAAAGGAAGACTAAGCAAAAATAACAAATCTGGAAGCGTCACACTACCTGATTTCAAACTGTATTACAAAGCCATAGTTTCCAAAACAAATGGTACTGGTACAAAAATAGGCTTATAGACCAATGGAACAGAATGGAGAACCCAGAAATAAACCCAACTACTTATAGCCAACTGATCTTCGACAATGGAAACAAAAACATAAAGTGGGGAAAGTACAACCTTTTCAACAAATGGTGCTGGGATAATTGGCAAGCCACATGTACGAGAATGAAACTGGATTCTCATCTCTCACCTTATACAAAAATCAACTCAAGATGGATTAAGGACTTAAATCTAAGACCTGAAACTATAAAAATTCTGGAGGATAACACTGGGAAAACCCTTCTAGACATTGACCTAGGCAAATATTTCATGACCAAGAACCCGAAAGAGAATACAATAAAAAAAAGATAAACAGTTGGGACTTAGTTAAACTAAAGAGCTTTTGCACGGCAAAAGGAACAGTCAGCAGAGTAAACAGACAACCCACAGAATGAGAGAAACTCTTCACAATCTATACATCTGACAAAGAACTAAAATCCAGAATCTACAAAGAACTCAAACAAATCAGTGAGAAAAAAAAGCAATCCCATCAAAAAGTGGGCTAAGGACATGAATAGACAATTCTCAAAAAAAGATACACAAATGGGCAACAAACACATGAAAAAATGCTCAACATCACTAATGATCAGGGAAACCCAAATTAAAACCACAATGCCATACCACTTTACTCCTTCAAGAATGGCCATAATCAAAAATAATAATAAAAAGAAACAGTGGATGTTGGCATGGATGCAGTGAACAGAGAACACTTGTACACTGCCGGTGGGAATGTAAACTAGTACAACCACTATGGAAAACAGTGTGGAGATTCCTTAAAGAACTAAAAGTAAAACTACCATTTGATCCAGCAATCCTACTACTGGGTATCTACCTAGAGGAAAATAAGTCATTATATGAAAAAGATACTTACACACTAATGTTTATAGCAGCACAATTCACAATTGCAAAATCGTGGAACCAACCCAAATGCCCATCAATCAATGAGTCGATAAAGAAACTGTTGTATATTTATATGATGGAATACTACCCAGCCATAAAAAGGAATGAATTAATGGCATTTGCAGAGACCTGGATGAGATTGGAGACTATTATTCTAAGTGAAGTAACTCAGGAATGGAAAACCAAACATCGTATATTCTCACTGATATGAGAAGTCCACATCTCGCTTAGTAGAAGCTAAGCTATGAGGATACAGTGGACTTTGGGGACTTGAGGGGAATGGTGGGAGGGGGGCAAGGGATAAAAGACTGCAAATATGGTGCAGTGTATACTGCTAAGGAGATGGGTACACCAAAATCTTACAAATCACCACTAAAAAACTTATTCAACCAAATACCACCTGTACCCCAATAACTTCTGCAAAAATTTTTAAAAAGTAAAAAATATATAAAAAATAAATTCAATCGAGCTGCAAAAAAAGATCAACAAATTTTTATTTTATTTATAATTAGTATGTTATATATCTTCTTAAAAATTTAAGTATTGTCCCTGCTAGTACATACCCTTCCATCAATATCCCATCTCAGTTTACTAATCATGAACAGTCTGATGTTTGCACTCCTACAGTTAGTGCCCTGGTACTAGGGAGAGCATCTTTAGTGCCCTACAGCTGGTTGCAGAATCCATTTCAGCTTCTTATTTCTTAGACCTCTGCTAGCCTCAACTCTCTTAGTTTGAATTCACCATGAAACAAACTCTGAGATGAAGATTTTGGGACAGAAAATTTATCAGAGGCACACAGAGGAGAATGAGAGATGTGGGTCTTGGCAAAGAGAAGAGGTGCAGTGCAAAGCAGTTGCAACACAGTCTTCAGCCAAGTCCCCAGGAACTCCTGACCTTGGATGACGAGCTCAGGAGTTCAAGACCAGCCTGACCAACATGGTGAAACCCCATCTCTACTAAAAATACAAAAATTAGCCGGACCCAGCGGTGCGGGCCTGTAATCCCAGCTACTTGGGAGGCTGAGGCAGAAGAATCACTTGAAGTCCTCTGGACTTGGAATGGAACTTCACAGTTTTTCTTCTTATTTTTTTTTTTTTTGAGACAAGGTAGCCAGGATTTAACTCACTCATAGCAACCAGTCATTGGATGTAGACTACCTCTAGGAAAGGCATATGACCTTGTATCCAATAGGTCTCTTAGGCTGAGAGAAATTCTCAAAGAGGGACTCAGGTATAGTCATCAGTCATCAATCCTCCCAGAAGCTGGAGAAATGAGTCCTCCTTTCATGAAGAAGGCATCTGGGCATGTCCTAGTATTCATTGCACTCAGACTGGACTCTGAGTTTCTGAGTCAGAGAATATGACATTTATCTTTGTATGCTCAGTGCCTAGAACAGTGACTGGCATTTAGTAGGAGATCAACAACTACTTGCTGAATTAATAAAATACCAGCATTTATTAAAAGACTAGTGCATGTTAATCTGTTAATCAAAAGTTAGAAATGATGATTTACCACTTTTATGTAGATAGCAGAAAATATGAAGTTTTGCCTTTAAGTTTGGGCTTATCGCCCCCAATTCCATTTCAATTTTTCATTTATTCATGATCTTAACAAACACTTGTGAGTGCTTTAACATGTGCTAGGCATTGTGAAACACATTAGAGCAAATTATTTCTCTTAAAGTAACATATATTTTAGATTTCTCACTGTGTGAAGGAAAACAGCCAACTCTCTTGTTCTTTTTTTTATGGCTTCATATGGAAAGGAAGCGTGAAAATTATGTCATCACTTGTTTTTAGGCCTCCTCTAGCCGTATAGTAATAATTTCCCTTGCTCCCGACTGGCTAACAACTGTCGTATGGGACAAAATAACGATAATTGTAGCAGCAGCCACTCCCACCTGTGTTCTCAGAGCTGTTATTCTTTTGGGGATTAAATGCAGACAAGATATTAGAAACAACAGCAATACAGCAATCTAAAATAGACAATGAATCCTTTAAATTAAGGCTTTTCCATTTTAATTTCTCAACTGTGACATGTACTGATCTAAGTACAAAAGCAAACTGTTCCTTCTGAGAAATGAAACTTCTTTTTCTAAAAGTTGCAACCAAAATTTTTTGTGAATATATTTTTGTTTTTTGAGACGGAGTCTCACTCTGTTGCCCAGGCCGGAGTCAGTGGCACAACCTCGGCTCACTGCAACCTCTGACTCCCAGGTTCAAGTGATTCTCCTGCCTCAGCCTCCCGAGTAGCTGGGATTACAGGCCTGCACCACCGCGTCTGGCTAATTTTTATATTTTTAGTAGAGACGGGGTTTCTCCATGTTGGTAAGGCTGGTCTCGAACTCCTGACCTCGTGATCCACCCGCCTCGGCCTCCCAAAGTGCTGGGATTACAGGATTGAGCCACCGCGGCCAGCCTGTGAATATTTTTCAGCAAAACTATTGTAGATGTTTGTTCACCAGTGTCTGTTCCAGAGTGAGTAGTGAAACATCATTGTCCAAATTGACAAGTTGCTGGAAACTATATGACAACTTTTATAAAGAACCTTAGTATTTCTTACTGGTTTATCACGCAGACTACCAATTGTAAAGATGTATACTCTCCAGAAACTCAAATGGAAAAATTGTTTAAAAAGTGCTCCCTTTTCTTTTGCGTAGTAGACTTTTTTCTGCTTCAGTGAACAGGTAACCTGCTGGTTCCCTCTCGTAGATTTTCCTTAGAGTGAATTTAGTTTAAGTAAAGCCATGACCATCTCACCACATCTCCTTTGCCAAATTTCCCAATTATTCTGAAACCTTTTAAAAGTAAAATTAACATTTTGACCCGTTAAAAATACCTAATTGAATTAAAGATGTATATATTAGAGGTGACACCAATGTGGTAGAAAGCAGAATGGGTATTCTTTGACCAAGGGGTCCTATATTTGTGTTGACAGACCACTTGAGGCAGCATGTATGTCAAGAGTGAGGAGGCCGGGTGCAGTGGCTCATGCCTGTAATCCCAGCACTTTGGGAGGCTGAGGCGGGCGGATCACCAGCTACTAGGGAGGCTGAGGCAGGAGAATCGCTTGAACCCGGGAGGCAGAGGTTGCAGTGAGCTGAGATCATGCCATTGCACTCCAGCCTGGGCGACAAGAGCGAAACACCTTCTCAAAAAAAAAAAAAAAAAGAGTGAGGAGTATTCAAGTCTACAGTATAATCCATTTATGAGATAATATATGGATTTATTATCGGATGAATGATTCAATGATTATCTTTCAAAAGTAGTTTTCTTGCACCACTTCTTTCCACCTCTCACCTTTTATCTTATTGTAGTGTTGCCACTGTATGCAAAAGTGATATTTTTCATTCTTTTAGTAATTTCAATTATCATTGTGTTTCTGGGAACCTGTATGACCTTTGAACATTTAAAAAGAAAAACTATGTTGTTAACATAGGCAATGCTGCTTTAGAGAATGGTAGACTTCTGTTTTACCTAAATAAATAAATAACAGAAGTAGCTAAGAAAACAAAGCAAAGCAAAACAGAGAGTTTACTCCATTTATCTTTGATGTCTTCACTTTAGCTGTCCCTTTTAAATTGAATTGAATTGAGTTTTTAAACTAATATTCATAATACAAATAGTCTTACTATGGACCTTTAAATTACTTTTCCCTTGACATCTACATAAATTATTGATTGAGTTCAGTCATTTTTCCAACTTTAATGTGCATGGGACTCACCTAGAGTCATTCTCTTCTTTTCAGAATGCAGATTTTGATTCAGTAGATTTGGAACAGGGCCTGAGAATCTGTATTTCTAACAAGGTTCTAGATGATGCTGACGCTGCTAATCTGGGACATCATTCAGTAGCAAAGATCTGGTTGATATGTCCTCCCTCTGACACATTATAATTATAGAAGGCTAAAAAAAAAAAACTTGCTTGTGGGAAATTAGACCATTGATGAAATAACTCACTTGTGACTAGTAAAGAAAAAAGAGTAGAAAAATGGTCTCAGAAGATTGGATACTATATATATTTGAGTAAGTGTGTGAATTAAAAGGGAAATATAAGGAAAAATAACTTCAAGAGAAAATACAAATTCAATATTAGCAAAATTTCTATCCAACCTCTGTCATGGTAGCCCAGTCTTGAAACTTATTTTAGTTCTTGGAAATGACAAGCATGGATATCTTCACTGTTAGCATTTTGACACTCTTTCTGAGATGCTTAACGATTGCTAGAAGTCTACAATTGAAACTGTAGGGTGTTAAATAGGAGGATTTGGAGCAAAGCATTTTGTTTTGAGCTTAAAGGAGAGATATTTAATGTTTGAACCAAGAAGCTAAATGAGGTTCTTATTCATACGCGGCTACAAATAAACTTATCCCTGGGAAATTATTTTATCTCTTTGGATATCATTGTCTAATCTAAAATATTGAAGTGTTATGTTAAATATTCTCAAAAATCCTTTCCAACTTTAATAGCCTATAATATTATAATTCTGATATATTCATGGAGCCATTTAAAAGGCTACTTTCTGAACAGTCACAGTTTTTTTTTAGGTGTGGAGATTGATGCCAACCTACACTGCCTATGGCAAAATATCTTTAGATTACTCTTTTTCCAATCACGTTTTAAACTCCATTCTCAAAAACAAAAGAAGAAATTATTTTTCTCTTTTTTTCTAATATCACCTAAGAAGTCCCAAATTGCTCCTTCCAGCATTAAATGTATGCTAATACTTTAGGTCAACCTTAATTCAAACTCCTCAAGTTTATCCTGAACTTCTAGAGATAATCATGAAGCAAAGGCCATCTATTTAGAGTTTCTTAGAATAAAACAATTGGGATCATGAACATTTTAGGTTTGAAACAAATGCAGTAAAGATAGTAATAATAATAACCTTACATAAATTAAAAGTACAGATATAATTGAAAATTCTTGAATTCCATTATAAATGAGTAAGGTAAGATGTCTTACAAAATGATGATTCAATTCACACACAGAAAAAATACTTTCTGCTTAATGCTTTAAAAAGATAGATCTCATGTATTTAAAATATAATTGAGTCTTAAAAGGTTGGTTGATACCTGAAGTTTCAGAAACACATCATTTTATAAAGTAAAATACATTTGTATAATGACAAGACTGTCTTCCCAACAGATATAGATAAGTAATGGAAACTTCCAAATTAATGCAAGCTAAAAACCAGGAAATGTATTCAGGAATGGCAACTAGGGATTAAACCAGCTGACATGATACTGTTGCAAAAATTTCATACTAATAACCAGCTCTCAAATAGGTGATCAATGAATTTAATGCTTATTCTGATATTAACTTTGATTTAGAATAAAAATAATACTGAATTCACTGTAATGGGATGATATTAAATAAGGGGGTAATATTAATTAGTAATTTAAACATGAAATAATTATGCAACAGGGCAATCATTTCAGCCCCAGACTTTCTGGCTACTAAAGCACAAATAAGACCAAATAGATTGCAAGCATTCCTCTGATGTCAGGGAGCATATCTATATTTCAATGAGACCAAAATGGAAATTTTCATGATGCTAAAATAATAGACATTTAGCATGTTATTCTCTTTATAGTGGTGTATTTGTCCATTTTCACGCTGCTAATAAAGATGTACCCAAGACTGGGCAATTTAAAAAAGAAAGAGATGTAATTGGACTTACTGCTCCATGTGGCTGGGAAAGCCACACAATCATGGTGGAAGGCAAGGAGGAGCAAGTGCCGTCTTACATGGATGGCAGCAGGCAGAGAATGAGGAAGACGCAAAAGTGGAAACCTCCGATTAAACCATCAGCTCTCATGAGATTTATTCACTACCACGACAGCAGTATGGGGAAACTGCCCCCATGATTCAGTTATCTCCCACAGGGTCCCTACAATAACATGTGGGAAATATGGGAGTACAATTCTAGATGAGACTTGGGTGGGGACACACAGCCAAACCATATCAAATGGTTATTGAGCAACACAGTGGAAAGTCTGTAGAAGTTAGAAACTGTTTTTCCTATAACTCTTTCTTATACCCAATCTTAATAATCCAATAAAAGCAATGGTTATTGACAGTTTAGACAAGTGACTCTCAACTCTGGCTGCACATTAAATCCATAAAAATATTTAAATGTTTTAAAACATTAAAACATCTGAAACAGTAAAGCTTCAGGAGCTTTATTTTTATTTTACTTTTTGTTTTAAAAAGTTAATGCCTAAGCTCCACCCTTTGAGATTCTGATATAACTGGTATGGAATGAAGCATAACATGGGTAATTTTTACAAGCTTTGTAACTTGTAACAGGTTTGAAAAGGTGATTCTAACAGGTTTGAAAAGCACTGCGCTGGAACAATGGTAGTATAGCATGATCTTTAAACTTACTTGTTCAAAAACTATTTGTTTCTAACATCAATTTTAATAAGAGCTAACTAGAACTGAATTTGAGATTGAGCTCTCTGATAAGTGCTAATTTAGCCATATTGTTTTCATGCTTAGAAATGTTTGCAAAATCCATTGTTTTGGTAAAAATTTACCCTTGGCAGAAGCACTCAAAGAACCATATTCGAAGCATTCATTGACAACCTTTCACACAAACTACTATATGCAGTCTTTGCTTTAGGCTCGAGTATAGTAAATCAAAGAACAAAAATCCACAATTATTGTTTTAAAATCTTGAAGGAAGACATATTTAAGAATGTGCTCCTTTTGTTTACCTTACTAAGCCATAGGCCTAAAATTGGTGGAAAGAGCTGGAGACAACACCAAGGAATGAGTAGAAGCTGTGTGTGTATATAAAGGATATGATCATCCTCAATCATTATCAGGTCAATCTAAGCCATCTCTTCCATGGCTTAAGAAGAAGGGGTAAGCTGTAGTGCTGTCTATCTGGAATAGCTATATTTGATTTCTGGAGGTCATCCAAGTCAATGACATGCCTTATAGGGGGTCTCTTGGGTTTGTCTAAGCAT
Source organism: Homo sapiens (assembly GCF_000001405.40). Taxonomy (NCBI): domain Eukaryota; kingdom Metazoa; phylum Chordata; class Mammalia; order Primates; family Hominidae; genus Homo; species Homo sapiens. The sequence goes on along the minus strand of NC_000003.12, from coordinate 104,921,216 downwards.
GAAAGATCCTCCCAAGCCCTTTAACATTTCTAGTACCTTATTGGGGTATGAGAGAGTGTCTTGAAATTCTCATGCCTCTTGGAATGGAATAGAGACATTGGGGGGGTAGAGATCTGATGGTTTGAAGATCAAGTGATCCACTGGATAAACTAGGGTGCTCAGAATCAGCCCCAGAAAAGAGAGGAAGGGGACTGCTTCAGAAAGTGGCTGCGTTTGAAACCTGAATGAGGTAGCATAAATTATCAGCTTGATAAAGTTTTATATAAGCAACTAAATTAAGCATTCTATATCAGACAGAATATTGACTCAAAATTATGTGAAATAAAAAAGTGAAATTTCAGCATATTTATGTCTGTATCCTATTAAATATGTGCCTTCCACAAGAAAGTAAAGCAAAATGATAAGCAAGAAAGTAAAAGGTATTTATCTTGCCTATTCCTAGATTTGTTTAATATCCCTTGACAATAGTTCAAAAATCAGACCTAATAGAAATGTGCCGAATCATCAGGATATTTCCAAGTTAAAGATTAATTATGCTGGCCTTCTCCAGTTGGACCATCACTGCTACATTAATTCCAGAGGAGGAATGACACTACATTTGTTTCTGTGACACATTTCTCTCTACTTCCTCACAGAAGGCAGTTGGACACTTGTTATATACAGCGTTGTAGTGGAAGACACAGAGGCACTGATATGGTCTGGCTCTGTGTCCCCACCCAAATCTCATCTTAAATTGTAATGCGAATTGTAATCCCCACGTGTTGGGGGAGGCACCACGTGGGTGATTAAATCATGGGGGTGGTTCCCCTGTGCTATTCTCATGATAGTGAATAAGTTGTCACAAGATCTGATGGTTTTTAAGAGGCTTTCCCCCTCACTTGGTTCTCATTCTTCTCTCTCCTGCTGCCTTGTGAAGAAGGACGTGTTTACTTCCCCTTTTGCCCTGCTTGTAAGTTTCCTGAGACTTACCCAGCCATGCAAAACTATAAGTCAATTAAACCTCTTTCCTTTATAAATTACCCAGTCTTGGGTATGTCCTTATAGCATAATGCGAATGGACTAATACAGGCACAGAGCTGCTAAAGGGCCCTCCCCTAAACCTCAAACATGTAATCCTAGGGTCCCTACAACTAATTGAATGATTTGTCCCATGAAGCCATGTTTTCCATTTGGTCGTCCTGTAACTCCTGGTCACTGCATGATGTGTTAGGCTGATACTGGACTTTTTTAGGAGTTGTCCACAGATTTGTGGAAAACCACCACAGTCTTACATTCAAAGAGGGCTATTCCTAGGTAAGGTTTTGGGACCAAAAAACTTAATCTTTAGTAACTACCCACCTCCACCTCAGCATACCAAGGAAGAAATACCATGTTTTGGAATAGCTTTTAAAATTGTTGGGGGAAGATATTGGACTCGTTTTAGGCTTACAAAACTGTGTCTGTCGATCTCCCAGACACATATTGAACTGTCTTCAATATGTTCAAAAGATTTCGTATACTTTTTTTGAAAGAAAAGAAAACAATACTTTGTTAAGAATATTTTAGCTGATACTACTGAATGATAACTATGCAAGTTTTACTGAACCATCATCTTAAATCACTTACCAAAGGGCCCCACTTCCTAATACCACCACAATGCGGATTAAGTTTCAACATGAATTTTGAAGGTTATACATATATTACCTCTGCTCTAAATAATCTGTGGTTCCCCATTGCCTCGGTTTATATTAGGTCCTTCTTGCCCTTTAAACTCCAAACATCCTAAATTACAGCTTAACATGCACTCTCGTACCTCTTGGCTTTGCATGAGGTTTTTAATCACATAAAATTCACAGCTGAAATTTATATACTTGGCAAATTCCTTCACATTATTTAGATTTTAACTCATTTTACCTCTTTTGGGAAGCTGTCTCTAACTCCCATAGGCAAAGCAGTCACTTCTTTTCCTAGGCTACCATTATTGCTCTCATCAAATCAATCATTATATTTACTATGTATTACTATTGTGTTCTTTCTGACTTCTAAGCAACATTCTCAGTTTACATACAAGAAAATTGGCAACAAGGGAGATTATATAATATATCCAAGCCTACTTAGTTTAGGAGCAATAGAGCAAAAATTGGAGCCTAAATGGTCTAACTTTAAAACTCAGGGATTTAACCCACTAGTGATGCCAAAGTATTATCACTCATTATGGAAATTATTGGTTACCAAATGCTATCTGATCTGCTCTGTCAGGGCAGGTAGGCTAAATCTTTTACTGGTTTTGTCAATCAGAAATAATATTTTGGATTGAAGAAGCCTGTCTATTGGACTGAAATCATTTACGTATTTAAGGACTTTTCCAATTTTGTCCTAAATCATGTACATCGAAATGTCTTGGGCTTTTCCTGTTTGAACATTGGATGTCCCCTATGTTGTAACCATATTAACTACCTCAAAACCCCTTTCTCCTTTCTCCCTTAGTCTTTCCCTAACTCAAGAACTATTCTCAGACTTATTTCCATCAATCTTACTCAAACTGAGGTGTCAATTAGTTGTGAAAAGGATTTAATGAACCTAAAGTGTCAGTTAGCTAGAATTTGCACAATAATCTTGAAAATAAAAAACTTTAAGTGTCAGAAGTATGGGTGTCTTGTGGAATGATAGGTTTGGAAAGAACATACTATCCAAAATTTTTCTCAAATAACAAGGATTAGATACATTTCTCCCTAAACAAAATTCCTACTGCTTTATAACCCAAATATCGTTCATTAGTGTATGAGTAGCTCCCATTCTAAAGTTTGCCAGAAAGTTACCTCTACTTCAGAGTCACGAGAAAACAAAAAAGAGAAAACTTACTGCTAGTCCAAGCTACCTAAAAGGGACTCCTAAATGCACTTAACAACTCTCTTCCCTTCACTTTATTTTACTTCATTGATTTAAAATTATCCCCTATGATCTTGTTCTCCATTAAACTCACAGAACTAATGGAAAATAAATCATGCTGTGGATTCTTGTATAACTGTACTGCCTTCTTGCTTTTCTTGTAAAGGTCAACACCATACATAATCTAGTAAACCCAAAATTCTTTGTAAACCCAAAACTTAATGTTCTATTCATCTTTTGAGTAACTGGCAAGGTTTACCTCATTTACCCTTTAAACAGATTTAAGATACTAAAGCAAAGAGAGAAAACATTCTCTCTTTGTGATACTCAGAAATCTAGTACTATGAAAAGGGACACATAACAAGACTTCTCAAACCATGAAACATGGATAAGAATTTGGAACAAAAGTTAAATATCCTGGAGCTATGCAATGTTTCCCTACTCATCATGGTTTGCGAGAATACCATTTAAAGTCAAAGCCAATGATATTATAATAATTTTTAAAAGTTCATTTGGGAAAGTGTAAAACAATATGGGTAAACTTCTCATGAGATGTAAATTAGAAAATCTAGTTTAAGTCATTGTTATTGGGTCCCATGACATGTAAGGGCATGGTTTTAGGCCATATGGAGCTGAGAATATGCAGAAGAGTG